>NC_000006.12:162646547-162798062 GCF_000001405.40 Homo sapiens | reverse complement strand
GAAAAACAATATTTAAAAGAGCAGCAAAACTTACTAATTGATGAAAAATACCATACAGAGTTAAACACTATGACCAAATAGCTTGCCAGGAATTTTTAAAACTTGGTGAATCCCTCACTTACATGAAAGGAGACCAAGAATTATGACAGGGAAGAAATGGTGATGTAATAGGAGAAGATGAAGCATAAGGCACCAGAATTCGGAAAGCAAGTAGAAATAAGAAACTCAATATATAAAAATGAAACTGGAAGAAGTAAAAGGGAAAAATAGCATTGCAAAAATACAAAGAGGAGAGAAAGGACAGAAATGAGAAAAATGAATAATGTGAAAGAGACGTAAAGTCTGGCAAGGGAGTGCTACCTTATCATAATTGAAGTCCCCCCCAAAAAAATTCAAAACAATGAGAAAAAAACAAATATTTTTAAATGTGGTTATAAAAATGTTTTGAAATACAAGAGCTACTTATTTATTGCTGAAGAAATTATTACCTGTGGGCCAGGAAAAATTAAAGCAAACATTGCCCAATGACATATATTAGTGAACTTATCAAAAATTTATTTAAAAGTCTTTTGTGTAGTTATTTAAAACTATCAAGTCACTTGTAAGAGTCAGGTTGACTTCGTGTTTCCAGTTCAATGTCTCATCCCAGAAGACAATAGATAAGCACCTGCAAGATTCATAAGAAAAGGTTTGCCAAGGTATATATTTCCAGGAAAAGTGCCCTTTAGGTATAAAATCTACAGATAAATAGGTTTTTTTCTGTTGTTGTTGTTTTTTTTGTTTGGTTTGGTTTTTGAGATGGAGTCTTGCTCTGTCACCCAGTGCAGTGGAATGATCTCGGCTCACTGTAACCTCTGCCTCTTAGGGTTCAAGTGATCCTCCTGCCTCAGCCTCCCCAGTAGCTGGGATTACAGGCATGTGCCACACCTGGTTAATTTTTGTATTTTTAGTAGAGACGGGGGGTCGCCATGTTGGCCAGTCTGGTCTCGAACTCCTGACCTCAGTTGATCTGCCTGCCTTGGCTTCCCAAAGTGCTGGGATTACAGGCGTGAGCCACTGTGCCCAGCCAGATAAATAGTTTTTGAAATTCAAAAGTTCAAAGATAATTGTTGCTATGAACCACTCTTGAGGAAACTCTTTGGAGACAAGCTTGAGACTCTCAGGAAAGGACTGGGGCAATGTCTTTGAAAGGACTGTGTCAAGCATTCACATAAATAACTACACAACTCATCATTTAGCATTGGCTTCAGGATGATAGTACAGAATGTCAATAACACATATCATATGCAGATGACACAACTAACACAAATCGAGAGAGAGATGAGAAAAACATGTGAGGTATCCTTTTTTTTTTTGCTTCATCTATTATCATTGGGAGGCAAAGGACAGGATTTAGAGCATGGAACTATATTTAACCAGACAAAGGTAAGCACTATGAAATATGATATTATTGACTAAAATCAGGTGGTACTGTAGAAAGGGAAGAAGAGAAAGTATATTAATTATGTTCATTAGTCATATTAGGGAATTAATAGCTATCATAAAAAATAAGGGCTATAGGTGATATACCGTTATAAAGATAACCATAAAAACAAAATAAACAGTGTACATACTCTTTCAAATACACATGAACAAAGAAAACTGAGCACACAGAGAAAGATAAAAATAGAAAACATTACAAAATAATTTCACAGAACCTGGACCAACATCTCAGCTATTAATAAATATAAAAAGACTAAATAAACTTTCAGTTTTGATCATAAAGAAAAACACGTCTGTGCTAAAAACAAAGTGACCCAGAGAGATTGAAAATGAAGAAATAAAGAAAAATCTACCAAGAAAGTCAAATGTAAAGCTCCAATCTCAGAACCATGCGGGAAAATACAACACACTTCTACTAAAGGCAAGAAGAAGATATGGATGTCCTCTATTGCTGTACTATTTAACATTTTAAAAATATTCTTATTGGAGGCACTAGCCAGTACAATTAGGTAAGAGAAAAAAAATGAGGTTAAAACATTGGGGAATGATGAGATAAAACAGTAAGTCTTTGAAGATTACATGATCATTTACTCAGAGAAAACCACCTGAAAATTGGTAAGTAACATAGAAACTTAGTAAGGTACTAGCATGCAAAATTAACATGCAAAAATCTATAGTTTTCATATACAAAAGTGCTGATCAATTAGGAGATATTGATAAGAGACTCAATTATAGTAACAAAAAATAAAGTACATGGGAAAAATGTAATAAATGTACAAGATCTATTTGAAGAAGTTTTGAAATATGATTTAAAGTATAAACAAGACTTAAAAATTAGAAAACACACTATTTTGTGATAGAAGGATTGCACATCATTACACATCACAAAATGGTTAATTTTGCAAAATTAATTTATAAACATAATACTATCGCAATAAAAATACAACTAGGTTTTTCTTTTTAGAAATTGAGAAGATGATTCTGTAGTTTACACTGAATTATTTTAAAAAATTAGTCAGGAAATCTCCAAAAAAAAAATCAGTGTGTACAGGTATAACATAAGGTCACTGGAGCAGGGATCTAGTTATAGTTCAAATAATTTTGCATATTCAATAAATCACAAAGTTAGACCTCAAATCAGTGGGGAAACATGGACGATTCATTAACTGGTGTTGGGACATCTGGTTAGCCATCCAGGTAGAATAAAATTGGATCAATGTCTTTCAATTTACAACAGAATTAGTTCCAACAGGCGCATATAGTCAATGAAAAGAAAAAAGAAAGAATAAGTGTCCTAAAAAGAGTCATACAGCGGCCAGCACAGCCTTACCTACTCTGCCCCCCACCCCTCTTCTCTGATCTCCTCATCTATTTTCACCACAGTTTACTCTGCACTAACCACACTGGCTTCCCTTGAACATATCAGGCAAATTCCCAGTGGAGGGAACTTGCTCTAGGTGTTGTGTCTGCCTGGAGTGTTCTTCCAGATGTCTGTTTCATTACCTCATCTCTTTTAAGTGTCTCGGTCTCCCTTTCTTAATGCGACCTACCACAACCACCCCATTTAAAATAACGGTCTCCCCACCAAGAACTCCAAACCCCCTTATCCAGATCTTTTTTTCCACAATATTCATAGTATTCATTCACTTTCTCTTTTTTCCATAGTATTCATTCCTTTCTAATGTACCATAGAATGCATCTGTAATGCTTATTGTTTATTACCTTCCTACCTGAGCTGAATTATAAGCTCCATGAGGAATCATTGTTTGTTTTGTTCCTTGTTAGATTAATAGTACATGGTACAGAACAGGTGTTCAATAAATATTTCTTGAGTGATTGCATAAACTTGATCATATGGGAAAGGTGACATTGCTGATGAATGGGGAAGGTAGTTTTCGATATATGGTGCGGGACAACTGCATATTCATGCAAAAAGAAAAACTGTATCTCTGTCTCACACCATATATGAAATTCAATTCTGTGTGATTAAAAGAAATATTGGAGGCCAAACCATATGAAAATTAACAAAAATGCAGAAAAAAATCTTTATTATTTTGGGATAGACAACGATTTCTTAAGAAAGATAGCTAAAAGGACACACCATAAAGTATAAAAATTGATAAATTTGTCCACATTAACAATGATTGCTCATCAAGAGATGCCATTTAAAAAATTAAAAGGTAAGCCATAAACTCCAAATAGATATATACAAGCATAATCAATAAAAATTAGTATTCAAAACATATTAGTACTCCAACAGATCAACAAGAAAAAGAAACACAACCCCACAGAAAAGCAGGAAATATATAGTAACAACAGAAGAGTATAACTGAATAGCCAATAAAACAAATTAAAAATGCTCAATTTCATTAATAATCACAGGGGTGCAAATAGAACACTAATAAAACATCTTTATGTTACTAGATGACAAAAAAATTCTGGTACTGTGAAGTGTTGGTGAGGATATGGAGGGATGGGAAGTCTCATTCCTGCTAGTTTGAGTGTAAATGGATACACTTTGGAAACCATTTACCATTGCCTAGTAAAGCTGCATATATAAAAATGCATACTTTTTAAATTTAACTTTTATTTTAAGTTCAAGGGTACATGTGCAGGTTTGTTACATAGGTAAACTTGTGTCATGGGAGTCTGTTGTATAGATTCTTTCATCACCCAGGTATTAAGCCCAGTATCCATTAGTTATTTTTCCTGATCCTTTCCCTCCTCAGAGTCAGAACACAAGAATTGTTAAGAGTGTGCTGGAGTTGGGGAATGACCCTTCTCTGCGTAATCAGACATGTAAAATAAATTTCTAGGAAGAAGTCTTGTATTTGGACCTGTAAGATTTGCTAAAGAGTCCAAATTGTACATTTTTGACTAATTATTAAATTCCATAGCCTGACACATTGCCACCCAAATGATGGTTCAATTAATATTTGTCAAACAGCTTTATACTAATGATGCCTGCTAAATGCAGATGCACATGTCAATTCCTTTCTTCCTTCTTCTTGTCCAGATAGATGGTGAAAGGATGCCTAGAACAATGGGCACCATGTTCCAACCATGAAGCAACAAGACAATATTCCAAGGATGCTACAGCAGAAAGATGCAAAAGATATGGGTCCCTGAAGAAATCAAGGAGCTGTTTCCTCCAGATACTTTGTTATATGAGATCATTCAATGTTTTTACTCTTTACTTCTGAAAAATAAAAATAAAATAAAAATGTACATATTCTGTGGCCAAGCGATTGCATTCCTAGGCATGTTCCCTAGAGAATCCCTTATCCATGATTATTGTCTTTCTCAATAAGAAACTATACTTATGTTTATGAGAATGTTCATGGCAGCAGTATTTGTAAAAGACAACAAAAAAGAACAACAACACAACAATCCTGAATAAGTAGAATGAGTGAATACTCACAGCATTTTTTGAAAATGGACTGTAAAATGGTGGTGAAATGAATAAACTACAAATTTACCAGTGGAAAAGTGTCTTAAGGGAGCTCTCGTGCCAGGAGGAAAATCACCTGCCCTTGGACTGCCCTCCCTCTATTGCAGGACTCAAGGTCCAGCTGAGCCCCAGCCTACTGTTCCTCCTATACTCATGGCCAACCAATACCTCAGCACTCTCCAGACCAAACTCACCATGCCCTTTAGTCCCAATAAAGTGTAAACACTAGGTCACCTCTCATTTTGCATTCTGGCTCCTGAATGGCTCTACACATCTCCTTTTCTGAAATCATCTCTGCCACCTCATCAACTGCTAAAACCATTGCACTGTGCCCCTGCTGCTCACAGTCGGTCATCAGGAAAACCTCTTTTGCATACCCTTCCCTGTCTCAGATTGCCTTTTTCACCTCTTCTTGCTCTAACAGAAGCCTGACTTTTCCCTAAGGATGCTGTCTCCCCAGCAGTGTTGGTTGTTTTCTCTCTAAAATCCATTTTATAACACTGGGACTAGAGACGAAGTGTCTGCCTCCTCTTTCAGACTGTTCTATCCCATTTCAGGGCCTGTGTAGATAGTTGGACCAGTGCTTCAGCCTCTCTAGTTCCTTGGCCTGTTCTATCACGGTCTTGACCTGCATCCTGGCCAGCCAGGTTTCTGACAAATAATTGCAGCCACTCCAAAATTCCAGACTTCATATATCCCACTCTAAGACTACCATTTCTTATCTTTCTAGCTCAATCCCTCTGCAACCCTAACCCTGAAACTTTCGCTATAAAATCCTGAAAATCCAATTATTTCCCTTCTCTTCCCTGCCCCTTACTCCTATTTCTGCCCTCCTGCCTGACCCAGTTTAAAGTCATGGTCAGTCGGTACAATCTCTCCCTTGCACTCACCCTGAACTCCCTTAACCCACCCTTAGTTTGCTGTGCTTTGCAGATGCTGCCTAGATCAAGCTCTCTGTCAACCGTATGCTGAGGCCTCAGCAGCCCAATGTAGCTGGTGCAGAACAAGCGATTTCACCACACTTCTCTACTCCATTCAATTGGCCATGCACACAGATGGCTATTTTATATATTTCATTCTCTCCTCAAACCTCCAACACCTCTTCTCCAGCCTCATTCACAGCTAATGTTCTTGCTCCTAGTCATTGAATAGAAATAACATAAAGGGGACTTCGGAAGGCTGCTACCACCACATCTACACACCCGTCAGCATGTGAAACATCACACAGGAGCCTCCTGCAGGAGAGGATGTACGCTTGCTTCTGTGTCCTGCTGGGATTGACCCCCAGGTGTCATTAGAACTTGTCCCTTCTAAAGCGTTCCATGACTGCCCTGTTTAAAACTACACATTACCTTCTGCATTCCCCATCCTCCTTCTAGAATGCAGTAAGTACTGAATGGTGAAATTCAAATTGATGGGATGCTATATATTTTAAATAATCTAGATATGAAGCAAAAGCGCCCACGTGGAGCTAGTACAAATGGAAAGGGAAGACTAAGACAAGTGACATTCATTAATTCATTACACACATATTTACCGAGCACTTGCTGTTCTAAGTTCCAGGCATTTAGGAGTGAACAAGGCAAATAGGAATCCTACTCTCCTGCAGTTTTCACTTTAGAAGGATCAGGCAATCTATAAATACATTGTTTGAAATAACAAGAAAATAGCAGATAAAAGAAGCCATTGTTCTGACATATTTTAAAATTACCTATGGGGTAGAGAAGGAAAGGAGAATCAAAGGTGACACTAAGATTTTGAACCTGGAACCCAATCTACAGAAAAAGGAAAGTTAGCGCAAAGCAAAAAAAAAAAAAACAAACAAACAAACTAGGAGTCAGAGTGGGGAAAAGAGAGCAAATATACCCACAAAAACCCCCATTTTCAGCTTGGCTTCCAATCCTTGCAAGCACATATACAATCTAAGTTAAGTATCTATGTAATAGGGAGGCTGCTTCTCTCTCTATATGTCACACTCACTTTAAGACATACCTTGAGTTGTGTGAAACTATAAGCATCACATACATAAATTGAAAGCAACATCCTAATTCTACCTAACTACAGTACATTCTAGGAGACACAACTGGCTAGAAATATCTTTTGTTCATTTACAATAATAAAAAATTCTACCTCTTTAAATACATATGTTTCTCCTTTAGAAAAATCTGCTAAACAAAGCACAATAATACAGGGTTGAAGTTTCCTAAGCAATAAATCTTGTCCCTTTATTGGAGCTATCTGGTCAAATGTAACTCAATATTTTAGAAGTGGCAAGTAAGTTAAAAGACTTATTCAGTTATCTTCCGGCTTTAGGTTGTCCTTTGATACATAGCGGGATCAACGCAGATCTAGATAAGACCAGTCTTAGAGACGTTTTAATGTTAAAGCACTCTTCTTCCAAAAAGAAATTTATATCTTCAGCCTACTTAGGATTATATAATAAATTTTGTGCAGAGGGAAAATCAGGTTTACAAGGGATTGGGAAAAGGGATATATACAGTAAGATGTGTAAAGGGCAGTACGGGTGATTAATGACCTAGAAATATTGATTTATGAGGTAAGATTAAAAGAATTAACTATGTATGGAATGGCTAAGCAATATATATATATATATGGAGAAAACTATTTGACTTGCTACAAAACAATAGAACACTCCATTAGAGTATTTAAAATTGGACTACAGAAGGGTAAACTATGCTAAGATTTTTGAACCTGGATCCCAATCTACAGAAAAGAAAGACAAAGCACAAAACAAAGGAGGAGTCAGGGTTGGTGGGGTGAGTGGGGTGAGTGCGGGGAGAGCAAATGTATCCACTGAACCTATCCATCCTATGAGCATGCCTGCCTGAATTATTTGGCTTTGAAATTATACATTTTTAAATCCACTTCCTGCAGTAACAGAACTGCCAATCCAGCCACGCTGCATTCATGCCAACATTATGCAAGGGAAATAAAGATTTTTTTCCAATAAGTGTTTTTAGATTTAAAATCTAAGTGTTTACATTTTAAAACACTTAAACATCATTTAGATATAATTTGCTACTTTTAGAAAGTCATGTGAAAGCAGACTCTCTCTCCCCACAGATACAACACAAAAATTGCCTACTATTTGAGATCTAGTTCTAAAATCAGTACTTGGAAATGGTAAACCAATAGTGCTAAATGTGATTTTATGATCAGGTGTTACTCCATATGCAGGTAGATATGCAGACCTGGACGACATGATTCAAATCATGCTAAAGTACAACAGAGATCTACTACAATACTTTGATATTTTTAAAAGTGGTCTAAATGAACTTATACTCTCTCCAGCCAATCATTTTGGCACAGTTATCTCACCCTGGTTATTTAGAGGGCAATCATGTAAATCCACAGGAAATCAGTTTCTATTGAGGAAGACCAAAAGACTTATGAAAACAGTCTAAATCAATACCTGATAATATATTGAAAGATAATTAAAGTCATATATGTAAATTAATCCATGATACCTAAATGAATCTATTTAATCTCAAATAGCTAAATATAATATGAAGAAACCAAGAGTTAATTGAAATAGTAAGCACTCCTTTTCATCTCTGTAAAGAAAAAATGATCCTTAGTGAAACTAAGACTTTGAAAGTTAACATGATTGTGGATTTTTATAGTAACCTTCTTTGATTTTTGCCTTAGAAGATGAGTTGTTAGTTCCCTATAAAAGTAAGCATGTTCAAATACTTGATGTACCAATATGGTTATGCTACAAAAACTAAATAAAAGAAATTTATATATTTCAACAAAACTTTGTTACCTAGCATTATAGGGACTCACAACTGTTTGATAGAAATATTATTAAAAATGATTATAGCAAAGCTCTGCCAAGGTTCAATTATTCTGAAAATTGTTCCAAGCTTTTAAGAGTCAGTTAGTTGCCTCCTCACTCAATGATCAAAACAGGGAAGAAACATATTTTCCATTCTTTTAGATCTCTTGGAGATAATTGACATATCTTTAGTTTTACAACAAAATAAAAGACCAAATATTTACTTTAATTAATCCTTTAATATTCTTATTACAAGATTTTAAAAATCTAGAGCATGCACTCCCTGGTCTAGTGGTTAGGATTTATTATTTTCATGGCTGTGGCCTGAGTTCAATTTCCAATCAGGGAAGCTTTTCTTCTTCAAGAGAATGAGAAGACAAGCCACGGACTGGAAGAAAATATTTACAAATGATACACATAATAAAAGCCTGTTATTCTAATATAAAAACAACTCTTCAAACTCAAAATAAGAAAATGAACAACCTTATTTTGAAATGGTCAAAAGACCTGAAAAGAGACCTCCCAAAGATATAAAGATGGCAGGTAAACATACAAAAAGATGCTCCGCATTATATGCCATAAAGAAATGCCAATTTAAAAAATGAGGTATCATGACACATCTATTAAAATAGCCAAAATTCAGAACACTAACAACCACAAATGCTGGAGAAGATATGGAGCAACAGGAACTCTCATACACTGCTGGTAAGAATGACAAATGGTGCCATCACTTTGGAAGACAGTTTGCAAGTTTCTTACAAAACTAAACATACTGTTCCCTATCATCCAGCAATCACACTCCTTGGAATTTGCCCAAATGAATTAAAAACTTATGTCCACATGAAAATCTGCACACAGATGTTTACATCTTCATTCATAATTCCCAAAACTTGGAAGGAACCAAGATGTCCTTCAGTGGGTGAATGGATAAATAAACTGTGGTATATCCAAATAATGGAATATTATTCAGCACTAAAAAACAAATGAGCTATCAAGCCATGAAAAGACATGGAGAGATCTTAAATGCATATGACTAGCTGAAAGATGCTCATCTTCAAAGGCTACAAACTGTATGATTCCAACTGCATGACATTCTGGAAAAGAAAAAACTATGGATACAGTAAAAAGATAGTGGTTGCTGGGGATTCAGAGGAGGGAGAAATAAATAGGGGGTCACGGAAGTATTTTATGGCACTCAAAAAACTCTGTATGATACGTAATGGTGGAAAATGTCGTTATTTATCTGTCAAAACTCAGACTATTCAAGAATGACCCAATGTAAACTATGAACATGGTGGACAATGATGTGTCAGTGCAGGTTCATCAGTTGTAACAAACGTACCACACTGGTGCAGGGAGCACACGGGAACTCCCTGTACCTTTTGTTGCCCAATTTTGCTGTGAACCTGAAACTGCTCTAAAAAATAAAGTCTATTAATTTAAAAAATCCAGGTTACTAGTCCAACACTGGCATTGGACTAGCTTTAATAATTTTTCAAAAAAAAATTAGAGGACAGGCATTCTTATGTCTCCCCACTTGAACTTCAGAATATAAGTTTGTATTCCTTCTAAATTGGTGTTTTCTGTTCAAAAAATATTTTGCAAACCTAATAACATGGATACCATTATGTTGGTTATTTATAATAATAGACAAATATATAATATCAGCTTCAGACATATGTCTGCCTAGCAAAAGAGAGAGGACAACCATATATATATATATATATATATATATATATATATATATACACACACACACACACACACACACAATAACCATATATATATACACAAACACACACACACACATATACACACACAATAGCCATATACATATATATACCATATACATATATAACTATATACATAATAGAGTTATCATGTGTGTATATGTGTGTGTATATATATATGCCTACACATATATGTGAGACCCCCTGCTAGTTTTTTTACATGTTTGGAGAAATTAGAACCTTAAAAAAGAGCTCAGTACAATTCCATCAATCAAACATAGGGTATTAATCTAAAATACTTGCTGACACAAGGAAGCATAAAAGGCTCATTGTTAAAGAGTGCCAATATTTTGTAGCTTCTCCAATAGGTAATAAAACTATAAGTACAGAGTACATCAGCAGTCCTAATAAAATTGGTAGCTCTTCTCAGTCTGACAGGGTGAGAAATAAAGCACAGAGGAGCTACCCATAAATGAATAACCTAATATCAATCACTTCTCTGCTATCATGCAAAAGCTGAGGGCAGATCACATATTTATTTTTCTTCCTAGTATAAACTATTACTCATGGCAGAAATTTCAGTATTTCTACTGGCAAAACTGCTACTCTTTCGTATAATTTAAAATGTTATTTGGAAATTTTGATCAATATATAGTTTATCGTGCGCTATATTAGATTTACTTTGCATTAACAGTGCATTTGATTTTGTAAATGAAGTCTAAGTTCAGCCTAAGTGATCCAATACAACTGAAAAAATTTATGACTCTATTCATCCTGGATTCTTGAACAATTCACAATAACAACCTTCAAAACATTAAAAAGTGAGAGGAAGAGATTTAACAACATAATAAAAATTGTATTACTGTAAAAAAAAAAACCACTTGCTATTCAAACAATCAAAAGCCCCAGTCAACTTTCATTAGGCTAAACTCGTTAAGATTGTGTTTCTTCTGATTGAAGTCCAAAGCAGACCTTTCTGCCTTCTACTTGGGCATTCTGGGAACCAGCCTCCTCTACACTATGGCTCTACCCTTCTCTAGGTCCTAGGCGTTCTCTCCATGAAGTTAACTTATGGGAATGAGATAATAGATGGTTGCCCATATAAGGCTTTTATGAACCACACCACGAATAGCATACATTAATTCCACACATGTTCTATTGGCTACAACTGAATAAAATAGATATATCTAACTGTAAGGGAGGCTGGGAAATGTAGTCTAGCTGTGTATTCAGGAATAGGAGAAAACGGGTTTCGTTAAGAGTAATTAGTCTCTGCTAGAGTCCACCAATCTCTTAACCAAATCTCCATTTTACTCCTCTTTTTACATGTAGATTATAGTCAGTCTTCACAGAAGACCCACAATCCCACCCAGGCACTGTTTATACCTCAAAGCTGAGGCTCTCTCTGAGCCATCTGTAATCAATCCTCTTCATTAGTTCAGATATGCTCTGGTGACACAGGAATTCAGTGGGCACCTTATCTGCCCCTCTGTGTGTCAACACACTATGGTGGAACAGGACAAGGTAACCACAACAAACACTTCCCTTTAGGAAAGGAAAAACTAGAGATATGGCAGGCCCTGCCAGGAAGACCTTGCGCAATTACTCTGTTGTGATGGGAGAAATTCCTTGCTTAGGACCTAATGCAGCTCTCTGGAGGGGGCAGCCTTGTGCACTGTCCTCCACGGGTCCTGGCCCTGCCCTCAAGCAGTCTCTTACTTGTTTGTTATCCTACATGGTAGGGGTCCCCAATCCCTGGGCTGCTCACCGCTAGTGGTCCGTGGCCTGCTAGGAACTGGGCCGCATAGCAGGTGAGCAGTGGGCAAGCCAGCATTACCGCCTGAGCTCCGCCTCCTGTTAGATCAGTGGTAGCATTAGATTCTCTTAGGAACGCACAGCCCATTGTAAACTGCACATGCAAGGGATCTAGCTTGCATGCTCTTATGAGAATCTAACTAATGCCTGATGATCAAAGGTAGAACGGTTTCATCCTGAAGCCATCCTCCCCCAACCCCCGCACCCCTTCACCCCCTGGCCGTCTGTGCAAAAACTGTCTTCCATGAAACCAGTCCCCGGCACCAAATAGGTTGCAGACCACTGATCTTGGGTGTATTCCATCAGAACTGGGTGTGCAGGCCCTTGGGAGTTGTACCATTTTCACAGTTCGCTTCTTGCTTTGCAAGTTTAAAGATCCAAGGGTTTGTATAGGAAATTAAGGGAAGGCTTTTTTAGTCTTAACTCATGGTTTCTTTGGCAATATGATAACCCCAAAATATTGCAGACTTATCTATTTCTTTCTGTGCAGTTTTATGTCCTAATAACCACACCTAAATTGATTTCCTTCTCAAATTGGTTTGTTTCATTGCTTCCTTGCCCTCATGCACCTGCCTTTCTCTCCCTCTCTCTCTCTCTCTCTCTCTCTCTCTCTCTCTGCCTCCCTCATTCTCTCTTTCTTTGTCAATGTAATTGTGCCTACCCTAAAGCTAACTGAAAAAAAATTAGCTGGGAAAGCCATATATATAAAATCTGCTTTAGGCTGCAGGGATGAGTCTGTTTTCCCAATGAGAAGTTTCATTGGGCCTTTGTAGCTAAGAACTTTCTCAAGCACATTTACTTGTTACTAATGCTATTTGAGTTCAGAAGCAGTTGGATTTTCCAAACCTGTAAGGATTTTGATCACTGAAACATCTCCATTCCCATTTTTCTGTGCTTGAAAACTAACCAATTCTTATCCGATCTCACCTCTTTCTTGTAATGTCTTGCTGAAAGCACCAAGAGTAGCAAACATACACTATCATTCTGAGCCTTTTCAAGTATTGCTCTAGAGCCACAGTCTCAGTGAGCACTGAGTCTGCCTTCCGAATTGTCACAGTTGACATTTAAAAATGTTTATTTCATAGAATATCAATATTTTTCAGCTTCTCAGTCTTCTGTATCTGTTTTCTCATAGCCCTACTGACCAGTTGCTTCAGATTTTTATATCACACCACTCTTAGAACCAACTCCTGCATTTCTGTCTTAGAAAAACAGAATTTGCTATGACAAACAACAATAAAACAAACAAACAACAAACAAAAAAAACCTTCAGTGTCTGAAAATAGTACAAGCTTATTTTTGGATCACACAAAGTCCCACACTGATGTTCTTTCTTGCTGCATAGCCTTGAATGTCATCTTTCCATCTTGCAGCTCTATCTTCCTCTAGGTCCTCACAGTCCTTTCCACGCAGACAAGGGAGATCGAGAAATTAAGATAAGATGACCATGGGCTGGGGGTATTAGAACAAGGACTGAAACTGGTGTTCACTAGCTAGGACTTAGTTAAATGGCCATGCTTAATTAACTACAGGGGAAGATAGAAAACTATTCAAAAAGAAAAGAGGTTTGGTAAGTTCCTGTCACATTGTTAAACAAAGAAAATAATAAAGCTCTACTGAAGGACATAAAGGATTACTTGAAGAAATAAAAATTTCTGGTTCCACAAGATTTCATCTTGTTCTTAGGGAAGACTCAATATTCTAAATTTGTAATTTTCTCCTAATTAATCTGTAAAGTCAATATGATTATAAGAAAACTAATAAAATATTTGAGAAATGTGACCAATTGTTTCCAATTCATAAGAGTAAAATGTATTAAAAATGGCAACAAGGTATATGAAAAGATAGTATCCTTATGTTCAATATACACAAAAGCAAGGAGATGAAGTTTTCTGTTAACCAGTTGACAAAAATGCATTGATAATATCAACTGTTGACAAGAATATAAAAGAAATACACTTATATGCTGTTAGAGGGACTCCAAATCAAGTACAATACTTTTAGAGGGAAGTTTAACAATAGGTCTCAAAATTTATAATGTTAATACCCCTTGATCCAACAATTATACTTCCAGGAATTTATACTAATGAGATAATTAGAAAGTCTGCAGAGATGTAAGTACAAGAATAATTATCATAGCATATTTTAAAATAGAGGAAAACTATTAAATGCTTTCCACATAGAGATTTGGTTAAATAAATTATGCCCTTAAATATAGATTTCAAAACATCACTAAAAAATTATAATGTAAACTAATTATTAGCAGAGAAAGAGGTGCCAATACATAATGATAAATGAAAAACAGCAGTTATAATTTCATTTTGCCAGTAGCATATATATGCATATGTGGAGAGGAGAAAGAAAGGAGGAAGAGAATGAGTAAGAATGCTTAAAAAATGTTTAGTACATTTTTGTGTAGTCTAAAAATATCATTCATTTTTTCAGTCAATGGTTAACTAACACTTGAATGTATTTTATTGTAGTGAGATGGTGCTATTTTAGAATTGTGAATTAGATTAGCTCAAATGTCCTCACTTTTACTTTAAACAAATATATTTTCTATTAAAAATATGCAAATATCTATTTACCTATAGTTTCTAAGCAAAATACACATTCCTTCCTTTTACCCTCTACATATTCATTTCATGTTATCAAATTAAGGCAATATTTCATCAATCACAAAAAAAGGATGAGCGGTTATTTCTGGATGTTAATTTAAGTGATTTTTGTTTTGTGTTATTTTTATCATGAAGTTAGTGGAGAAAAAAGTGGACATAGATTTAGAAGAACTTTTTCTGCTGCTTTGTGTGACTTCTGACAGGTTGTTAAAACATACGAGTTTCAGTTTCCTCAACTATAAAATTGAGATAATAATCCTATTCTCACCAAGTTGTAAGAATTATGTTAGAATATTTAAAATCTCTTAGTATTACCATTAAAGTTAATATTTAAAATATTTTTCCTAAAACTTTGCTTCCATAAAAGCTTTTGACTAAGTAATTTCTTGATTTATGCAAACTTTGGGATAGGAAACTCTGAATTAAGTTAATATGGTCCATTTTTCCATAACAAATTTTCTCTGAAATCTCCTTTAGGTAACTCAGCAAAGTTCCCCAACCAAATAATGTAAATAAACCAGAGAAGTATGTAAAGAGTGACAGTTAAATTAATCATTTCTATAATTATTTTAACTTTGTAATAAAGCATTTGATGTTTAAAAATTGACTTCTAGAGAAAGTGCTATGTTTTAAAAAGAAAAAATCATCTAAAATTTGAATTTCCTAAACTAATAGCTGACTAATTCACACTCTTAAATTTTGCTCTCTACAATGTGGCCTTATTTATGTCTCATTTAAATAAAATGTAACTCAGATAAAATTGTTCAATTCCAAAAATATTTCACATCTTTTGTAATAAAAAATGTTTGTTATAATAATTGCCTACATCCTTACTAAGTTTCTATCTACTTGTTCCATCTGTTCTTGAGGAATAGGTGTTGAAATCTCTATCATTGTGGATTTATATATTTCCCCATGAAATTGTGTCAGTTTCTGCTTAGTATTTAGAATTGTTACATCTTCTTGATAAACTGATTCCTTTATTCCGATGTAATGATCCTTTTCATTCCTAGCAATATTCTCTGTTCTGAAATCCACTGTTTGATACTCATTAGCTATCGCAGTTGTCTTTTGATTAGTGTTCACATATTTTATCTTTTTCCATGTAAATTTTAACCTGTATGCGCCTTTATAGTTGATGTGGGTTTCTTGTAGGCAGAATACAGTTAGGTCTTGCTTTTAAATTCAATCTAGCAATTGCTTCCTTTTCATTGGTGTTTTTAAACCATTTACATTTAATATAATTATTAATATTATTGGGTTTAAATATACATATTGCTTTTTTTTGTTTTTGTTTCATTTGTTCTTTGTTCCTTTTCTCTCCTTTTCTTGCCTTCCTTTGGATTACTCAAGAATTTTTTATTATTGTGTTTTATATCCTTTTTTGGCTTACTAGCTATAATTATTTATGGTTATTTTCGCGGTTCACTTAGGGTTTAGAGTAAACATTTTAAACTTATCACTGTCTACTTTCAAGTGATAGTATACTATACCTCACACACACATATAAAAACCTTACAACAATATACTTTTTTTTTCCTTCAGGCCTTTATGCTAGTGTAGTCATAGATTTTAATCCTACGTATGTTATGAACCTTATTACATTGTAATTTTTATCTAAACAGTAGATTAATTTTAAAGACTTAAATAATCAGAAAATATTGGATATTAAAATAATAAGAAAAATAAAGTATGTTTACTCTTATAGTTTCCATTTCTGGTCCCTTCTTTCCTCTGTGTAGACACAGGGTTTCTTCTATTTCCATTTTCCTTCTGCTGGAGGGACTTCTTTTAACATTTCTTTAGTGAATGCCTGCTGGTGAGAATTTGTTTTGACTTATGTATATCTGAAAACAACTTGTTATTTCACCTTGATTTAAAAAAATATTTCTTCAGAATAAAGAATTATAGGTTCATAATTTTTTGCATACTTTAAAGATGCTCTTCCACAGTCTTTTAGCCTGCATTTCTTTCCCAAGGTGTCATAGGTTTCATCTTTCCTTTATTTACATTGTGTCATTTTTTCTATGTCTGTTAAGATGTTCTCCTTATTACTTATTTTAAGCAATTGGATTATAATGGGCCTTGGTGTCATTTTCTTCATCTTTCTTGTGTTTGCGTTTTACTGAGCTTCTTAGATCTGTGGGTTCATAGTTTTTACCAACTTTGGACATTTTTTGGTCATTATCTTTTCAATTATTTTATCTCCCACTCCTCTCTCATTCAGTGACTTGAATTACATGTATATTAGGTCAATTCTAGTTGTCTCACTGCTGAAAAAATGTTCTTTTTTTCTTAATTTTTTTTCTATCTGCTTCCTTTTGGATATTTTCTATGGCTGTTCTCAAGTTCACAAATCTTTTCTTCTGCAATATCTAACGTGCCTTTGATCCCATCCAGTGTGCTTTTCATCTTAGATATTGTAGTTCCCAACTCTAAAAATTGATTTGGATCTTTTTATATTTTCTATGTCTCTATTAAAATGTAAGATGTATCTTCTAGCTCCTTGAATATATGAAGTATAGTCATAAGAACTATTTTAATGTCCTATTTCTATTATCTGTAAATTCTGGGTCAGTTTCAATATATTGATTTTTCTCTTTATTTTAGGCTGTATTTATTTCCTTCTTTGTATGTCTGATAATTTTTAATTGGTTGCCAGACATTTTGGATATTACTTTTTACAGGCTAAGAATTTTAGTATAGCTATAAATATTTTTGAAATTTCTTTGGATCATGGTTAATTTATAGCTATAAATATTTTTGAAATTTCTCTGGAACATGGTTAACTTATTTAGAATATTTGGGATTAATGTGAGCCCAAATATTAAAGTCTTGCCTTTAAGCTTTGTTAGGTGGTCCTAAATTAGCATTTTTACCAAGGTTCATTTTTCCCTCTTAGTGTGGGAGGATCCTTTTTAGAACTCTACTCAATGCCCCTTGAAATATTAAGTTTTCCACTCTGGCTATTGGGAAAAGGAACTATTTCTTACTTTGTTGAGCCTTGACCCCTGTTCCACCTTACTATTTTAGGTGCTTCTTTCCCCTGCCTCTGTTAGTTTCCTCACACACATGCACTGAGGGGGACCCTCTGCAGATCTTGAGTTCTCTTTGTACATCTCATTCCTGTGTCATACTGTCCTGTGAATTCTAGCCGACTTAACTTCCTTGAATTCTAAGCTTCATCTTCTGAACTCAAGGAGACAGCTAGGCTTCCACCCTCTGAAAACTTTTCCCAGGCAGTAAGTTGAGGCAATTGTAGGTCTCACCTCATCTGTTTCCCATCTCTTGAGGATTACTGTCCTTCATTGCCTGATGTTTAATGGCTTGAGTGTCATTGTTTCATACGTCTTGTCTAAAGTTGTTTCAGGTCAGAAGAACTGCTGTTCCATCTTGATTAGAAATGGACTACATACTATTTCGAGGTCACATTCGTATTCATTATTGAATTGACATGCACAAATAAATACTCTCAATACTTATTCTAAGAGAAGGAAGACTGGTTTTGCTCATGACTATCTTTTCCCTGGCCTCCAAGCTCCAAGACTCATCTGTTATAACATTGTTAGATGGTTTAAAATTTTGAATTCTAGGTGAAGCTGTTACAATGTTTGTTTGCCACAAACCAGGGAAGCCTCAGAGGAGTAAAGAGCAGTTCAAATAAAAGTGAATTTTCTCTCCCTTTACAGTTTGCTTGCTGAAGTATGACAGGTGTACCATATTGTAATGGGAGTAAATATCAGATTATGTTTTCTGTGGATTTCTTGTAACCAGGTCAACCCAGCACTGTAGATAAGGCCCATGCCCTTCAAGAAGTAGAAATATTTTCTTTTAAAATATAGTGTTGGCAATAGCAAAGACATGAAATCAACCCGAATGCTCGTTGACGACAGACTGGATAAAGAAAATGTGGTACATATACACCGTGGAATACTATGCAGCTATAAAAAGGAATGAGAGTATGTCCTTTGCAGGGAAACGGATGGAGCTGGAAGTTGGTATCCTTAACAAACTAACGCAGGAACAGAAAACCAAACACCGCGTGTTCTTGCTTATAAGTCGGAGCCGAATGATGAGAACACATGGACACATGGGGTGGGGGAACAACATACAATTGGGCCTGTCAGTGGAGCAGAGGGAGGGAACGCATCAGGAAGAACCGCTAATGGGTGCTGAACTTAATACCTAGGGGATGGATCCATCTGTGCAGCAAACCGCCATGGCACACGTTTACCTATGAAACAAACCTGCACATCCTGCGCATGTACCCCAGAACTTAAAATAAAAGTTGATAAATAAAAATAAAGTAGTGTTGGAACCTCAGGGGTCAACCCCGCTAGGCTCGCTCTGAGCGCCACACAGGCCCAGGCTTGCTGGAGGGTTCAGGGCGTGCTGCTCCACCTGCCGGTCTGTATTAGGAACTAAGGAGCTTCTCCAGAAGGAAATCAAGAGTCTTGGTTCAGAGACTGAGGCAAGGAAATGCTTTTTGTTGGGGAAAGTTAATGCATTTGAATATTTGCCACTTAGATTTCCCTGAGTCTCTACATTTTCACCAGGGACTTCATCTTCAACAAGGTATTTTAAACTTGAGTGAGTACATAAAGGTAAAAAATATATACATATATATATTCTCCGCAACCTCTAAGTTTGTATTGGTTGCTTTTACCTAAAATATGTGTAAATAAAATGAGCTGAAATTTGTAAAACACCTAGTATAGCCCCTGACAGGTTATATGTGCTTTAAACGTGTTTGTTAAATAAATAAAAATAAACAAACCATATAAAAACAAGGCAATACCTCTTACGCTTATAGCACTTATACAACCACAGGAACAAATCAAATTCCCAGATCTTGTATTTAAAACAGGAAAAAGCACAAAGCCCCCTTCCCATCACATAATACTCTTTTGATGGGGCAGAAGCTGCTCCACTGCCACTGAGTCAGAACCAACGCCACAATCACCGTGCTGACTCACTTTTCCTTTAGCCTCAGCGCTGCTCTGCCACCGTGCATCGTGCAATTCTCACACCTGTTTCCTCCCCCCAAAACACCGAAAAACCTTCATTCATATGGCAAACGATGACACTATTCACCTGCAGTTGTTGCAAATGCGTATTTTACACATTCAGACTGTGTGCTCTGTGAGGCCTGAATAGTGTCGGTTAGCTCACAACTACATACTTACGGGCCAAAACAGTGTTTGGCCCAAAGGATGTGTTCACTACAAATATGTTTTGGGAGAAAGGAGATGGAAGGAAGGAATGAAAGAAGGAAGGAAAGAAGGAAGGAGGGTGGGAAGGAAGGAAAGAAAGAAGGTAGGGAGGTTTTTTCTTTTATTAGTTCAAAGCAAGTGCAGTAAATGTTGTTCAAATCAGCTGCATTTGAACCATATGGCAGGATTCAGTTATAAGGCTGTCTTCCTTAAGATGCTCCAGAATATGTTAATATTAAACTTTAAATGCATCTCTACAGTAAAAGTATAAAATAAAATATTTCCTTATGAAATCACAGGCACCAAATTAAAAAAATCCCAAAACTCAAAGGAGTCTACTTTGGCAATTTTACCTAGAACTTGAGGATAGGAGGCTGTGATTAAAAAACTAATAATTAATAATAACAATAAATAGCACCATGACCAAATCCAACATCTCACCAAAGTCTCTGTAAGCCCTGAAAGGACAGGGTAGCATGGCCTGGTCTGACACTTAGTAGAATTTGGGATGGTGTGATGGGAATTCTGAAATCCGGAATGAAAATGTTGGAAATGGCAGTGTCTGAGGGATGTTATCAATAAGCTGAGTGTGTGCCCACATGGCCTACATCAGCCAAATGCCAAGCCACTCAGTCTGCGAAGGTGCCACAGGGAACACAGCAGAGGCCTGTGAGCACATGGCCAACTGCATGTCCCGAAGTGGAGAAAAACAACGTCACACAGCCGGCACGAGGGAGCCAAGTGAGTCTGATACTGAACTTTTGAAGAGGCCCCTGAAGAGAGATCAGGGTTTGTGCAAGTGTGCGACAGAACATTCACCCAGAGAAATAGTTGGTTGATTTAATGCTAGCTATTTTTCAACTTTATTTTTTATTTCAATAGGTTTTTAGGGAGCAGGTGGTGTTTGGTTACATGAATAAGTTCTTTAGTGGTGATTTCGGAGATTCAGGTGCACCCAGCACCTGAGCAGTGTGCACTGTACCCAATGTGTAGTCTTTTATCCCTCATCCCCCTGCCACCCTTTCCCCAAAGTCCAACGTATCATTCTTATGCCTTTTAATGCTAGCTTATTAAAAACCCAGAGAGAGATGTGGCTTAGGGAGACACAGGAGAATCACAAATATTTTTACCTGAGTACTTAGCGGGTCAGTTACAATACTGTAAATTCTTAGTAAAGAGAAAAACAGTGTCTGGCCTTTTGCAAGGATTTGCCATAGGCAGAAGCAGACTGACTATGAAATTAACCAAGCTTAAGCTCCAAGCCCCTCACTTGTATGGGCTCCTACCAAATGCTCTTCTCAGGAGACCCAGTATCAGCCACCTGCTAGCAGGTTGGAGCCTGGGTCACCTTTCAATTCTGATGTTGAGGCCCAGGGCAGGAGAATGGGCGGCCAGCACTATCCCCTGTTGGCTTGTGCCTCAGAATCTGGACGCTATCTTTAATCCCAGAGAAGGATCTGAGGGGGTTGCTGCTCTGCTCCCTGCTTTGAGGAGCACAAAGACCCAGGTTTATAGCCAGCTCATTGTTGACAGTGAGGGTCTGGAGTCTTGTTTGCTGGAAAACAACCAGGGAGCAGGTTGCTCCAGGGCTTGTGTGACCTGAATGAGGACAGGCAGATGGGAGTCGAAGATGTGGCAACAGCAATAATAAGTTGTGAAGCTGAAAGAAACTTAACTGTCAATAGTAAAAAGCAAGTTTCCATTGACAATGCTACAGGAGAATCTGATCATCTGTCTTTGTTTTCCACAGAAAATGACATTATGTAATTGCTGTCACGAAGTAAAGACCAAGGAATATGTAGCTAATAAATACAGAGAAAAATATTGCAAAGATGTCGGGGACAATGTAACAGTGTTATTTTCTGGATGGATTTTATTTGTGGTATCTGCCAGGCTCTTATTTTTTTTCTCATTCTTAGTCAATATTAAGTTTCTCACCTAATTTTATATTCCCTTTCTTAAAAAGGGCTTCCCAAGTTATATCAGCTTCAAGCCCCACAAAACCTATATCTACCTTTGAGCTTAGAGTTATCATAAGACAAACTTATACTAACTTTATATAAGCCCTATAACTTCTCTGTACCTGTTTCCTCATCGTTTAAAATGAAAATGGGTGGACAAGGTGATTTCTAAGGATTTTTTAAATGTTAAAATACGTAAGTGTTAGCTAAGACTAACTACATGGCAGAAAGTTCAATAGGCAAGGAAAAGAAGCTGATATACAGAATCTGCTTCAAAATGATTCAGAAGTGAAGATAAAACATCACTGAACCATGATAGACACTAGAAAACATTACACATATCAAAATTGGATGTGCACATAATTTGAAAAATAGATATGTAAATAAATGTTACATTTTATGGTTAAATCTCTCTTATGCTATTTATTATAAGCATTTCAGACAAATTACATAATTACTTATGACTCAAGTACATAGTTATCAAAGGGCATTTAAGTTCTGTGAAAAGCATATGTAATAATGCATTTGTATTATGTAAAATTGATTAAAATTAACAATGGATAAGTATATACCTCTAACACTTACGCAATTATCTTTGTCAAAGTCTAAAATGTTTTGATTACTAGTAACAGGTAAGCACAGAGGTCAAATGTAGACTCTTGATTAGGGTCTTAATCTGTTTAGGCTGTCATAACAAAATACTATAAACTGGGTCACTTAAACAATAGAAATTTATTTCTCATCGTTTCAGAAGCTAAGAAGTCCAAGATTTAGGCACCAGCAGACTTGGTGTCTGCTGCGGGTCCACTTTCTGGTTCATATGTTATACCTTCTCACTGGGTCCCCACATGGTGGAAGGGGAGAACAAATTCTCTGGGGCCTCTTTTAGAAGAGCACTAATGCTATTCATGAGGCCTCCATACTCATGACCTCATCACCTCTCCAAGGCCGCACCTTTTAATATCATTGCCTTGGGGGTTAGGATTGTGATGGGGAACATAAACACTGAGGCCATCGTTGGGTAAACCCTGAGTCCTGTTATATGCAGAGCACCGTGCTCACTGACTACCAGCAAAACAAAGATAGGTGAGAGGCAGCTCCAGTCTTCAGGGATTTCTAGTCGGGTAGGGCAGATGGTCATATAGAATTAAAATATTACATTCTGATGTCTGGAATAATAAAAGAATACAACAAAGCAGGGTGCTTCAGTAGTAGAAGAGTGATTAATTCCCACTAACTAATCAGATAAATTTTATGTGTTTCTAATCACAGACTACAAGAAAGCTAGAAAAAAACATTAAGAATAAAAAAGCCTAACTAAATACAGTAGAGATGGAGACAATGAAACAGCCTTGAAGTGGGGAATTAAATGGCAACAGAGAAGATGTAAACACAAGAATAGGATAAAATGATTATCTTGTTAATAGAATATCCTGACTTTTCTCCCATACCATTATTTGACTATCACACATGCAAAAAATTCCCAACATAATGATCAATCAGAAAAGATCTATGGGAAAGCAATTCCATAACTACGTAGCATTACAAACATATCTATCATTTTTCCTGTTAACTATTCCTGATTTATGAACATATCTAAAGGGGACTTCATTATTAAAGAAACACAATTAAATGCTTTTTGGCTAAACATTTTGATTTTCCCTACTAAGTTGATTTTCCCTACTAAAGGCTGGCTGCCCTTTTGTTCATAATTGAGTCTGCAGCTATTAATTGGCAAAGCTGTACAGCTTCCTGCATACAGCATTTGATCACTTCAGAGTCGGAGAGAGTGGGGTGGGCCCATCTGGCACTGGGGCAGTAGGAGATCTTGTTTCTAGATTTAGTCAGTCAATTGAAAAAAATACCATTCGTCAAAAGCTTTCCATCCATATCTACCACGTGCATGTAATGTGGGAGTAAATATGACAAAACCCAAATGGTTTGAAATTAAATTACTTCAATTGTTTTATGAATAAAATTGAGCACTTAAAGATGGAGACAGCAAAGTAACAAAATATTGAATTTTGGTGCAGTTTATATTTTTTGTTCATTTTTTTAAAAGCAGAGCTTTACCTGGATTAAGACCACAAGATGCCATGAAAATTATGTTTCTTAAAGGATTTTCCAGCAAGAAGCCAGGATTTGTCTTTACATTTATATGCTGATTCCTGTAAAGACCTAAAATAAGGTTTCTATTTAATTAAAAAAAATGACACTTTGGGAGGCCGAGGCGGGTGGATCATGAGGTCAGGAGATCGAGACCATCCTGGCTAACAAGGTGAAACCCCGTCTCTACTAAAAATACAAAAAAATTAGCCGGGCGCGGTGGCGGGCGCCTGTAGTCCCAGCTACTCGGGAGGCTGAGGCAGGAGAATGGCGTGAACCCGGGAAGCGGAGCTTGCAGTGAGCCGAGATTGCGCCACTGCAGTCCGCAGTCCGGCCTGGGCGACAGAGCGAGACTCCGTCTCAAAAAAAAAAAAAAAAAAAAAAAAAAAAAAATGACAAGCTGTAAAAATACCAAATATCTAAATTTATATTTTCTTCCATGATGTAAATACTAACCAGAAATTATCTAGTATTATTAATATCTACATCTATTTTTAAAGTATTCGTGCTACTTATTTTGTATTGCAATCAGTTTGTGCATTTTGAAAAGCAAGCTATAATCATTTATGAAAACCATGACAGAATTTTGTAAAATTTTCTAATATTAGGATATTCTCTGCTGCCCAACTGGAAAACACAAATAAGATAGAAATTCTCCCCTCTTTCTTAATAAAGTCTGCTCTTGAACTCATTCTCAGCCAGCTATCAACCTTCTGTGGCACCATTCCTTGCAAGTAGTATTCCTATTATCTCTAGTTTCTCTTTGCAAAGCCTCTTAAACCTATTCCAGTAGGCTTTCACCCCTACCATACCAGCCACACTGTTCCCTGCAAGATCACCATTGACCTCCGTGATTCTAAATCCATTCTTCATCTCTCAGTCTTTAGAAACCAATAGTCTCTATAATACTTGATAATAATTTCTATCTGCAATTCCACCAATATCTCAAATGCAAAGGCTTAAAACTGAAGTTTGAGTCTTATTAACTCTCAACACTTTAATTCCCTGTACTTCTTCTGTCTACATATCCAATTCTTTTTCATTCCCTCATATTCTTTCCTCTGTAAAAACTAAATCTGTCCTCTATTCCTGCCACCTCTTTTGGAATTTATACCCCTGGTTCCTTTCCTTAGTAACTTTTGTCCTAGCTCTCTGCCTCTTTTCTCTAGCCTACTCTTTGTATTGCTGCCAGGTTAATGATCCTAAGACAAAACTCCTCATCATTCACCACTTGCTCAAATGCCTCCATGGTCTCTCAATACTTGGAATTCATGGGTCAGGGTAAGGTGAGCCCTGTGGGCCTTTTCATTGTTGTCTCTTAGGACTCTCCCTCCTATTGACTTTTCAAAATGTGTTCTAACCTCCTTTTCCTGCTTTAAGGATAATTTCTTTTTCCTTATTTCTCCAAGAAAATTGTTTCCCAAATTTTATTTTACTCTTTGCAAGGATTTTTAAAACTTTTGTTTGCTTTGGTCTTTCTCTTTGTGTTAGAGGCTTTCTTTAAATATCTTGTAACCCTTTATTGCACATCGATTTTCAGGTTTCTTTGATTATTGCCTCAGTTACACCCCTGGAAGCTTTACCGCATCCAACACTTTGTTGCTCTCGTAGTTATTCTCATGCTATTTTAGATGTATGCTTTTTAAAAATAATTTCTATTATTTTAGTGGTGCTAATGATGGACTGGAAACAAATCCTTTGGATTTCATCTGTCATGCCTACACAGTATTTCCATACATTTTTAACAACCCAGGTTAACTCATTATTCATGGAAAGCATTTTCTGTTTTCTCCCTCTTTGTGACTTTGCACATGCCCTTCCATCTTATCTTTTTATCAAATTTAAAATATCATGCAAAAGCCTTTCACAAATTCTTTCTATCATCAACTTCCATTAGAAGTGATTTCCCCTTCTCCTGGTCCCCCAGAGCAGGGTATTTTATCCTGCTTGGAAATGTAGTCATTTGTGCAGCCGTCACATCTCCCTACTATTCTCCTTAACAAGGAGGAGCTCCACTTACCTCCATCCGAGAGAATGTTTCATGCACAGTAATGATCAACAAATATTTAATTAACAGAATAATAAATGGAATACACTTTTCTTAGATG
Source organism: Homo sapiens (assembly GCF_000001405.40). Lineage (NCBI taxonomy): Eukaryota > Metazoa > Chordata > Mammalia > Primates > Hominidae > Homo > Homo sapiens. The sequence continues at coordinate 162,771,779 of NC_000006.12, read as the reverse complement.
TATATAGCTATCAAAATGTTCTTGAGAGTTATGTATTCCAAAGAAAATTACTCTATTTTTAAAAATGATTACCCACCTTTTCCAAAGATACTAACAGCTATGAATATTCATCATAAGCATTTCTTTTTTTCTTGACAGTATACTTTGATATTGATGGTTAATTTTAACATAGTTTGAGAAACGTGTACCAAAAAAAAAAGTACAAAATACACCTGGTCTTCGTAAAAATGCCATTAACTCTGTAGTGGATGCTGCACTGAAGACTGTAGAAGCCACCTCCACTCCCGCCTTCCACTTCTATCGTCTTGATAATCACAGCACTCAGAACCACAGCAACATGGGAAAATTGGCAAAAACAGACTCCCTAATTTGCTTTAAAATCAGAACACAATGAAATATAACCCTGGAAGAGGAATGGTGGACCACTGATGTGGGTGTTTATCTATAGAACCCGTTGTCCTCCATTATGTGAAAAGATCATCAAAAGTTTAAATATTAGTAGGTACTTGCATAGATAATTCAAATAGTCTTTACTTGGAGCACTCTGAAAAGACATTCTACCCAAGAATTTAAGTTATGATGTAACTTGAATGGCAATAACAAGGTTATTTCATCATAAAGTAACTAAAATGGTAATAACAAGGTTATTTCATCATAAGTAAGAAATATTTCTAATCTTACTTTCAGAGTTTGTATTCTATGAATATTAAGAATACTAATGTATTTCATTGTAATTTTATTTTGAGTTATAACAGGAATATTTGAAAAAGTGCCCTGATTATAAACTCCTTTATGGTAGGGATTGTCCCCTAGAACTAAAAAAAATCCCTTATATAAAACCGTGACAACAAAAAATACCTAAATTTATAAACTTAAGCCTATCAAACCTAATCAATATAAAATTATACAGGTAGTCAAATCTTTATCTTACCAACATGCAGTCACATCTTTACATTACCAATGGAATTACTAGGGCACCAAGTTGTTTATTAGTCCAGAAAATGGTTGCTATATTTATGCTTATTTTGTCAGATTTCTTATTATTTAGCTCATTAAAATCAAGTCTGTTAAGCAAAAAGTAGTGTGAGTAATCAAAGCCCTACTGAGAAGAGGAGGATGCCTGCAATGAAAATGCAGGTGTATATAACAATAATCAAACAGAAATGAGGAGACCAAATGAGTGACAGAGCCTCTGAAAACTGCCCCTGCAGTTGGCCATCAAGAGCAAAAGTTGAGGAAATGTGATTGATGAAATGGAAAAAATCTATTTTATGTGGCTTGAAAAATTGAACAAAGCTCATATGCCAATAATCCCAAAGTTGATTTATGAGAAAGCTAGAGAGGGTTGTTCTTAACAGTTAAGAACTGTGGAAAATGGAGCTGATATAACTTTTATCACCAGCTACAATGGATGCCATAGGTTCAAGGTTCAGTCAGATAGGCACCTAAGAGCTATGGCCTTGCAAATCTGGGTAGTTGTGCCAAGAAATGCTCAACTATAATTGTGCAATGAATTAAAAGATTTTCAATTGAAATAGAATTATCTTGGAAAAGGATACCTGGTGGAATATATAACACTGAGGAGAATAAACATTTTTAAAGTCTGAAAGGATTGCATCTGTGGAATTCAAGTTTAAAAAGCCTTAGCAGCATTACTCTAGGACCTATCTGTAGGAAATATTGAGATAATTTAGGTGGAAGGGGGCATTAATTGGTTTGCCTTGAAATTGCATAGACTTTTCATTTATTTGTGATAGCCCTGAAGTCACTCATAAAAATAATGAGGGCCACTAAAACTGCTATAAGTTTATCATTTTTAAAATCTAGGAGGCCTCAAGAAAAACATCTGAAAAATCCGAAATGCCTAATATCACTTTAATGTAATCAATAAGAATCAGTCATAATGATATCATTATCTATAGCTTCCTTAACCTATAAATTATATGACACTTATATAGTGTCATTTTGGATTTAAAAAAGTCTTTTGATAAGTTTTCTTTTCTTTTTTTTTTTTGCTAACCTTCTTTTAAGTAGGATAATGCTTGAGTTCATATAAATCTACTGAAAAATTCCAAGTGAAATTTAGACATTCAGAGCTAAGGTAAAGATCGCTGCTCACAATTTATCAATGTTTATATTATACCAACATTTGTTTATACAGAGACATTCTTCTTACCAGTGCATGATCAATATCCTCTGGATCATCATGGCATATACTTTGGAGTAGAAAATACTATCCCTATAGACGAGGCACAAAAACCATCAAGGTAGGTTTAAAAAGCTGAGCCCTATGCCTAAGACTACTTAGTCCTTGCTACAACACGTATGAGCTTTGAACAAGTAATTTAACCTCCCTAACAGTTTATCCTCACTTGTAAAATAGAAATAATGTTTGTCACCAGAGTAAATAACGTTTGTCCCCGGTATTAGGATAAGTTAGGTTTTAGAGCAGTAAAAAACCACCTCGAAACTCCCAGTGGCTGAACAAAATAAAGGCTTATTCTTTTCATGGAGGAAAAGTTGGCTATGTCTAGACCACTCCCTATGACAACTGTCTTTCTTGGAGGACTTTAATATACTGAGAGGGTTTAAATAAAAGGTGTGCAGATTACAAGTTTAGTCTGTCCTCTTCCGAGGAGATTCTCCCCCATATGCTGTTTTACTGTTTGTGATGTGACCTCAAGGCCTCTTCCAGGAAGCTGCCTCCACATTTACCATGGTGGGAAAAGGGAGCCCTCAGTTTGCAATATAGAGTTGGATTAAGACAGAAAAATGGGCAATTGTAAGACACAGGAAGTTAATCAACAGGGTTAAGCACAGAGTGCTATACAAACAGGAAGTGTTTATAACAGCCATGAAAGGTAGCCAAGAGAGTCTTCCCACAAATATCAAAGTTTAAGCTCACTTCTGAGTTTAAATTCCCAAAATAATTTGGACTTAAAGTGAGCATTGTCAGTCAAATGTGTGGATTTAGGTTATAGTTAGAAAATCTGCTTTAAGAAAATAAGAAAGGTTCAAAGGCATTTTAGAAGGACAGGTAACACCCCCCATATATTAGTATTTCAGAATTCAGTGAAAAAGTCCATAAAAACTTTGATCAACTTAGACTTTCTTGGCTGAAGAGAGAATCCATAATATAGAAAATATAGCTGAACAAATTATGTTGAAATATTTTAAAAATTAAAATATAAAATATCTAGAGCAGAGAATGAGAAAGCCTAACAGTTACCTAAGTCCTAGAGAAATATAGGAGATATAATACTTGAAAATAAAATGGCTGTGATTTTCCAAATTCCCCAAATGCAATAAATAATGTTTCTAATGTATTGAAAGCACAATAAGTGAAATCAATGCCAAGAGATCAAAGCAAAACTGTCTGATAAAAAAGACTCAGAGGAAATTAGAAAAACATCCAGAGAAAAAAGGCAAATCATCAAAAAAAGAACAATAATTAGAAAAACAGCAGACTTCTCAACAACAGAAACCACAAGGTTGTTGAATAATATATTTGAAGTACTGAGAGACAATCACTATTATCCTCTAATTACATACCCAGAATATTTATCTTTCAGAAATGACAGTAAAATGAAAACATTCACCTGAGCATAAACAGTTAATCACCAGGAGATATTCATTAAAGGCAATGGTAAATCATGCTCTTTAAGAAGGAAAATGATTTCAGAAGAATAAGATGCAAAAATAATGGTATGCAAATACAATGCTAAACATCTTGTACATCTCTCCAATCACCTATTTAAAGTAATAAACATAACATCTAATTTGTGGGATTTTTAAAAAGGAAAAAACTAAAATAGTGAAAAACACAGATTAATTCAGGGGAGTGGTGATTGCAGTTTGATTATTCTAACATTTCCTACACTGTTTGAAAAATAAATAAAACTAGTTTAAATTTAGATTTTATTAAGGAAAATATGTGTAGTAAAAATTCAAAAATAATGGCTAAAAGAATAGAAATAGCATGTATTAATCCTCAAAAAGGAGGGGGAAACCCCATATAATAAGTAACAAAGTAATCAGTTAAAAATAATAATTTTTAAAAATAGTCATAGAATAAGAAAACAAAATTCTTTACTGATAAGGCAGAAATAAATCTAAACATATCAATGATCACAATAAATGTAAATATGTTAAATTCTCCCCAAATTGTCAGAATGTATAAGATAAATGAAACCCAACTTATTTTCTATTTTTAAGACAGCCACCAAAAAAAATCACAAAAACAAAAAAAAACACCTAAGGATATGAAAATATTGAAGTAAAAGATGAAAAATATATTCCAAGTAAACGTTAAACAAAAGAAAGCTGAAATAGATATATAAGGCAAATAGGCTTTAAGGAAGAAGAAACACTTTAAGAGAAAAAAGGGTCAATGCATAATGATAAAAATTATAGTCACCAGAAGGATATAATGATTCTGAACTTTATGTAAATATAGAAATAAAAATATATAACAACTGAAAGAAATAAGCACATCTATCATAACAGTGGAAAACTTTAGCCCAGCTCTCTCCTTTACTAAGTCAAATAGTTAAGTAGAACAAAAAAAACTCTTAAATGAACAAATTCATACATACACACATATAAAATATAGAACATATGGACAATTCAATAACGTTACATTCTTCTGTAGTACTCCTGAAAACCTTATAAAACTGTATCATGTATTACACCATAAAGTATGTCTTCACAATATCATAGACTCCGTGTGTTTTTCCATGTTGCAATTAAGTCAATAATTTAAAAACTGTATATATTTAAAAATTATTAAATGCTTCAAAATAACACACGGGCCAAAGAATAAACGAAAATGCAAATTTAAAAATTTCACAAACTGAACAGTAAAGAACATACTATAGAAAAAAAGTGTGAGAATCAGTACTTAGAAGGAAATTTATAGCCTTTTATATTTACATTTTTTAGAAAAGAAAAACTACTGAGTTAGATGCCCGACTTAATTTCTATCACAGATAGATCAGAAATTTAAAATATGAACATATTAAATAATTTTATGCAACCAATTTGAAAATTCAGATTAAAAATCTTTAGAAAAATATAACTTAGAAAACTGACTCAAGAAGAAATATCAAAATTCGTACAGCCATTTTGAAAACATTATGGAGATTCAAGAAACAAAATAGATTCAAGAAACAAAAACAGAATTATCGTATGATCTGGCAATCCCACTTCTGGGTATAAACACAAAGGATCTCAAATCAGTACATTGAAAAGGTGTTTGCACTCCTCTGTTCATTGCAGAATTATTCACAAGATCTAAGATATGGAAGCAACCTAAGGGTCCATCAATAGATTTTTTTAAATGTGGTATAAATACACAATGGAATGCTATTCCATTTTTAAAATAAACAGGAAATTCTATCATTTGCGACAACATGAGAAAGGTAAACCTAGAAAACATCAAGCGAAATAAGCCAGGCACAGAGAAACAAATACCATATGCACTCACTTGCATGTGAAATCTAAAAATGTCAAGCTCATAGAACTAGAGAGTAGAATGGTGGTTACCAGAGGCTGGGCAGGGAAAGAGGAGGCGTTGGTCAATGGGGACAAAGTTTCAGATAGGTAGCAGGAGTAATTTCTGGTGTCCTACTGCACAGCACTGTGACTATAGTTAATCATAATGTATTACATATTTTTAAATAGCTAAAGAGAGAATTTTAAATGTTTTCACCACAAAGAAATGATAAATAGTTGAGTGACAGATATGCTAATGAGCCTGATTTGATCATTCCAGTGTATCCACATATCTTGACACATGACATTGTACTCTGTAAGTATACACAAATATTATTTGTCAACTAAAAATAAAATAAAACTTCTTAAAAAAGAAAAAAGAAGAAACACCAAGATTGAATACTCCCATAGCATTTAAAGAATTCAATCATTGTATAAAATATTAAATAGTTATATGTGTTTATCTAAAGAAATGCCCAAAAATGCTCCAGAAATGTTCTACAAAATTAGCATTTAAAGAATCCAATCACTGTATAAAATATTAAATAGTTATACATGTTTATCTAAAGAAATGCCCCCCGAAATGCTCCAGAAATGTTCTACAAAATTTTGAGAAAAAGAGATTATTTTAATCTTAATAGCTCTTCTAGAAGAGAAAAATCTAAAATACATCCAAACTGGTACCACTATGTTACCATCACTTACGATAATGGTACAAACAAGAGGCTAAAATCAAGAAAGCTCTGACTCTCCCTTTTCCATGTTCCCACATGGAATGGACACAGGTCACCGGTCAAGTGGATCAGCAGATGTAGACGTGGTCTCACTGTTGAGAGAGCCATAAACAAAAGGCTCCCACAGTTTTATGGACCTGGAGGGTTTAGTTGGGGGCGAGGAAAGGGGGTAGAGTTGCACTGGAAAATAGTACTGGGTACTGAGTCAGAGTAGAGTAAAATGTTTTCAAGGGTTTCCCTCTCCCTTGAATAAGGAGGCCTTAGCATGCGTGCTGGACATTTATTCTACAATTGGCAGACTTACAAAAGGCCAAGAGTCAAATTCAAAATGCATCTTAGCCTTGTTGGCTCAGATAGGACTAATATTCAGGCAAGCAGGTAGGTAGGTAAGTAGATACAAAGATAGATAATAGATTTATGAATAGATAGGTAGAGAGAACAAGATGATGATGATGATGATGATAAATAGGTATGTATATATGAATATAAATGTAAAAGTTTGGTTTCCAGGCCGGGCACGGTGGCTCACGCCTGTAATCCCAGCACTTTGGGAGTCTGAGGTGGGTAGATCACGAGGTCAGGGGTTCAAGACCAGCCTGACCAACATGGTGAAACCCCGTCTCTACTAAAAATACAAAAAAAATAGCCGGGTGTGGTGGCAGGTGCCTGTAATCCCAGCTACTAGGGAGGCTGAGGCAGGAGAAACGCTTGAACCCAGGAAGCAGAGGTTGCACTGAGCCGAGATCATGCCACTGCACTCCAGCCTGGGCAACAGAGCAAGACTCTGTCTCAAAAAAAAAAAAAAGTTTGGATTCCAGAGGTTTTTTTAATGTCTGTTCTTACTTGTATATTAAACATATATTTAAATATAAAATTCTCAGACATGAAGAAGACAATCTAAGGATAGTCCATTCAAATATAGCAGAGATGGGAAGAACAATTAGTTTTAAAAGCAGAAAATAGTTAATAGATAAGAAATTATATCTTCTATCTCTAAATATGGACATGGGTAATTTAAGGATAATGCTGAGTTTTTGCTAGAATAGGCTATTTCAACATTTCTGCTTCTAAATTGTGAAATCTCAAATATTATTCTAATAAATTAGCCCATTATAAATCATTTAAATTTGTGTTGATTCAGTTATAAGAAAATATTAAAACAATGCTAAAAAGATTAAAATTATCTAATCCATAACACCAATTATTAAAATACATAATTTTTGCAATGAAATTTATGATGACAATAATATGGAGCAACTCCCCCTCCCCCCTTTTTTTGTGATGGAGTCTCGCTCTGTCACCCAGGATGCAGTGCAGTGGCACAATCCTGGCTCCCTGCAACCTCCGCCTCCTGGGTTCAAGCAATTCTCCTGCCTCAGCCTCCGGAGTAGCTGGGACTGCAGGTGTGTGCCACCACAACTGGCTAATTTTTTGTATTTTTAGTAGAGACGGGGTTTCACCATGTTAGCCAGGATGGTCTCGATCTCCTGACCTCGTGATCTGCCCACATCGCCCTCCCAAAATACTGGAATTACAGGCGTGAGCCACCATGCCGGGCCTGGAGCACCCCATTTTAAAAGAAAATCCAAGGTCTTAGAGCAGACACTTTAACAGTTTATTTTCACTTCAAGAAGATAGTCGAGTTTTTAAAAATACATTCCAGGATTTGTTTGATATCCGTCTTTAGTTGAGAATAACAGGAAAAAGATGAATCAGGAATAAGGAAGAAACATGGCCGACTGAAGGTTAATTATAAATGAAGATAAAACAACGCTGTACTTTTAATATAAGTCAACAGAAAATAATTCATTATTTAAGTCCTTGTAGCAAAGTTCTGGTGCACATCTATTTCATAAAGAAATATCTAAATACTGATGCCACCATCTACCTAGATCTTGATCTCAAAGACAGTCGATAGTTAATACACAATTATTAGCTTATCAATAGTTGAAATACTGTGATACTCATTTTCAGAGAACAGAGCCTGTGAATATCGTTAAACTCTGCTATAATTTAAGGTAATATTCAAAAAGGGTTGTGACTTTATGATAGGAAATAGTCCTTGACATTCATAATTCTTAAGCACTTTCTTTTATCATTTTGCTGATGTATGTTCTATTTTAAAATCAGAAGGATAATGGATGTGCTTCTTCAACTGTAAATTAGGTTTTATATCAGAGCCTTGTCAGCGTTGTGACAGGTGACCTGACAGCGGTCTTGCCTCCACATCCCTCCTTCCTGCTGCTTCTCAAGGAGAGAGGGTCAGTCTTAAAGAAAGTGCAGGAGATTGCTGAATCCCTGAGGAAACATCTCAGGTCCATAATAACATTTACTGCAAGCCATAATCATTTTATGTTCTCTCTAACAGCTTAAAAGCAGAGCTATACTCTCCTGTCACATGTATTTTTATTAATCAAGGGCATTTCAAGTTTGAATGGATATTGTAAATTTGAAAGTCTGGATACTTCTGATTTGTGTGAGGCAAGTCCTAAAATTTAGAAAAACACAGAACCTGCCAGGATCATTAATTGATTTCATGCAAACATAACCCACGTGCATTTGAGTGGATGTTTTTAGTTAAATGTATTCCTAAATGCCATTAAAGTGAAAACCTGGCCCATTCAGTGTCATTAAAGAAACAACATAGTGCACATATATGGTAAACTAGTATAAATACTTAACATCTGAACATAAATCAAAGTTATACTTTGTTGTAAAACAACATTATAATCAAATCAATAGAGCTCTGAAAAACGCAAAACTAATCTGCTTCCTAAATTGATTAGTCAGTGTTCTATATGTAAAATTGATTTTTAAATCTGATATATTTAGCATGCAACAAGATACAAATAACCACCTATTCACATAATGTGAAATAGCATGCATAATGAAAGAACGCAAAGTCAACATCCATGGTTATCCCTGCCATATTAAGTGCTGTTATGACCAAAATAGACATCGTTTTCTAAAGCCTTTTTTAAAAATCCCTATACACTTCTGGCCTTTTAAGCTAAAAATCACGAGTACAACACTAAAGAAAAGGAATCCCAGGTACCTCATGATCCTCACTCCTTAACACCCCCAAAGGCTCACCTGTGTGGACAGAGATGAAGTACAAACTCCTTAACAAGGAGGTCAAGGTCCTAAGCCATCCATCATAGATGAGCTCTCTAATGTCAATTCCCAATGTTTGTTCCACAGAAGAGAAACATGCCTTACATAACTCTTTGGCTTTTTTCACTGTGTATTCTTACCTTGGAGTAAAAGGATTTCCATTCTCAACCTGCTGAACTCTTTCTTGGTTTTAGAGAGCCCTTGAAATACCACATCTACCAAAGCTCCCCATCAGGATTAAGTTCTCCTTCCTCCATGTTTCCAGTGCCACACGGACAATGCCTCATTCACTTGATTTATTATTTATTGAGAACCTACTAAAGTCCAGTTAATGTCATCAAGGATGGTGATACAATGAACATGACAGCAGAGCTCCCTGCCCACGTGGAACTTGGCATTAGATCTGCTTGTTTCTTTGAATGTTTAGAGACTTTATAACATGTAAATTTAGTGTCACTCAGGGGTTTTTTTTTGGGGGGGGGTTTCTTTTTTTTTTTTTTTTTGAGATGGAGTCTCGCTGTGTCACCAGGCTGGAGTGCAGTGGTGCTATCTCGGCTCACTGCAACCTCCATCTCCCTGGTTCAAGCAATTCTCCTGCCCCAGCCTCTCGAGAAGCTGGGATTACAGGCGTGAACCACCATGCCCAGCTGATTTTTGCACTTTTAGTAGAGACGGGGTTTCATCATGTTGTCCAAGATGGTCTTGGTCTCTTGACCTCGTGATCTGCCTGCCTCAGCCTCCCAAAGTGCTGGGATTACAGGCGTGAGCCACCGTGCCCAGCCTCACTCAGGTTTTGAAATTCACTCTACTGGGTGTTTTATCTTCAGCAAGTCACTTAACCCTTGTGACTCAAATTCTCCACCTATAAGATTAGAATATTATCATCTAATACATGGGACTCTAATATTAAAAGAGATATAACTGGCACACTGCATAGCACAGACAGTAGAGCAGACTGAGACATGCAAAACCAAAACTTCCTATGCTTTCTAAAGGGAATAGAATACTCCATACTGACAAGCAAATAAATCGTGATCCTGCGCCTTTATATTTAAAAAGAATTGTAGTAAGAAATAAAAAAGAAATATAATTTTTACAACTTCTACCAGCTCAGCTCATCTATATTGCTACAGGGTTAAGACCCAACCACAGATGGCATTTTGTTTAGCACTGCCAACAAATAATTCATTTCTGGATAAGCAGAGTTGGACTCAGGGATAAGGTGGGGAGCTAAATGGCTTTGCTTGGGTTAAACAGAGGAATCTGAGTTTCTAGGGGCACATGTGGTAGGGAAATCTGATCTATCCTATCTAATCACACGAGGCGGGCTGGGGCATCAGCCACCATGAGGACACTGGGCCCTGTGGTGAAGAGTGGCCAGAAAGAAGGCCAGAAGATTCTACTCTGCTATGTGATCCCACAAATCCCTAGACCCTGCCCGGCCAAGCCATCAGTAAGTGCTGGCAGTTAGACCATCTACCCTGAATTTATTCACATTTCCACATCTCCACTATGACAACCCTCATCTGAGTCCCCATCTCTTTTTGCCTCAACCACTGCAAAAATCCTCCTAACTGGTCTCCCTGTTTCACCACAGAGCACAATGGTATACTCTGGGCGGAGTATCTGGAGTGATCCTTTCACCATGTCACTGCCACCCTAAAATCCTTCAACGGCCCGTCCCACCTGGGGAAAAAGAGGTAAAAGCCAAAGGCCTTCCCAAGACCTCTACAGCCTCACACTTTCTAAACGTCCCACTATCTCATCTCAGTTCCTACCATCTCAGCTCTACCTGGCTCACTTTCCTCCAGCCACACTGACCTCCGTGTGGTTCCTCCATCACATCAAACCATCACACACCCCCATCGGCTTTGCCTGACACATAAAACATAAGCGCCTAGTTTGGCTCACAAGTCTCTTGGTACCCTGGTTCTTTCCTATTTCCCTGAGCTCCTCATCTGCCACTGTCCCCCTTCTCTCACAAGGATCCTCTCACAATGCTCCTTAAACATTAGACACTCACTCCTGCCTCTGACAGCGTGGCCTGGTGCTTCAGTCAGCCTGAAATCCCCTTCTGCTGATCACCACAGAGCTGACTCCATCTGCAGTAGTCCACATGTGATGTGATGAAAGTGCTGCCTTTGTTTATGTTTGGATGTTGATGTCCCATGTAGATCCCAGGGACTCCTGTGTGTGCCATGGCTGACAGCTGACACCTGTAACCTTTTCTGAAGGATCGTGCTTAGCATACTGGAGTAGCCTTGCCTAGAGGCACCTGGGAGTCATACACCGCACTTGGAGTAGTCAGATCAGTAGCCGACGACTGACTGCTGCAAGAAGAGCTCTCGTGTACCAAGCCTCCCTCCTTTGCCTCAAATCAATCAGGAATGAAACTTTGGTATAATCTGTTTGTGGGATCAAGTTGAGGCTCAACTTTACTTGAAGCCATATCCTTGCTCATCTTCTCTCTGCCCTCTTGCTTCACTTGCTCCTTGCACAAATCTATGCACACAATTCCTGCTTCAGGCTCTATTTCTGGCAACCATAGCTAAGGCACAATCATAAATATTTGAATATTTATTTTTAAGAAAAACAGTCCTAATATCGGACTTTTAGAACAGTGTGTCAAACACAAATAATATACCTGAAGATGCATTTATATTAACAGCAAAAATAATAGTTCCTATATAATCACCCATTCTATTGAGTGAATTTCCAGTAACTCTGGCCATCTAAGATTCCTTAGCAGATCGACCACCTTTATATAGCCAACGAATACACATCTCTTGTACCCCAAAGTATATTCAGACCTGGTCAAAGTAGTGAGAAAGATATGAGTCACCACAACTATTAGTAAAGCTGGGAGAATAATTCCTAAGAAAATGAAATAATGGAGTAAGCATATTGTAAAATTCATTTAAATAAATGATACCCACTATTCTTTCAACATTGTGAGATGTGGATGTGAATCTGGAGCATTTATTACTGCTTATTTTCTCAATGACCAAGAATATTCTCAGAAGTCTGAGGTAATTTGAAAATTCTCACAGCTCACATAACCTACAGCCATGGTTATGTGAGCCACGGCTCACATAGATGTACTTTCAGATGCCAAAATTCTAGCCCAATACCCACACTCATCAGAAGACAATGTATGAATTGGAAAGGCACTGTGAGTCCCTCACTAACAAAAGCATTCTTACTCCTTGTAGTGCCAATTTGTTTTCTTCAACGGAATCTGCTTTTAAAGGTTAATAAACAAGATGAATTGTAAATAGTGGAAAACATCTGAATATCTCTGTGTTCTAGGGAGCTGCTTCTCCTCATCAGATGAATGTTCCTCCACCCACTTTATTCAGATCAATAATAAAGGCAATTCCATGTCAATTTATGCAGAAGTAGTCTAAGTTTTCTTCAATGGCTAGAAACACTGGGTTTCAAGTCTTTAAACACTACAATATGAAGAACTTTCCAAAATCTTATAATTTTTTATATAGTGGGTCAAAATCATGTCATTTTTTAGTGAAATATGCTTAAATATTATTCATGTTCAAGACTTCAGAAATGTATACTGCTTTTCAAAAAAATGGCTTATTTTCAATTCATGATATAGACATCTATATCCTCATATGAATAAAAATAGCAAATGTATATTTAGCAGGTAATGGTCTTAGTGTTTTGAATAGATTATTTAATCCTCATAGCCCCAGGAGGCATACACTCTTATTAACCTCTTTTATAGGTGAGAAAACTGTGAAAGAGATGAACCAATGCACTCAGCACATGGATAGTATATCTGGGATTTCCAAGCCAGGTAATCTGGCTCTCTTGTCCATGTTCTTAATGATTACAGTACAGTGCTTCTGAATATGCACAACAAACCCATATTATCATCTACATATTTTTATCTACAAAAATGGTACCACAAATAATGAACCAAGTAGTCATATGGCAACTGGTTGAAGATGGAACAGTTCAAAATCAGGTAAAAACTGATTTGTAAATCCTATACACAGGATGAAAATATGCTATAGTCAAGAAAAAAGAAATTAAGAAAAAGAGCCGTTCTTTCATTCATGGATAACATAAATTTATGCATATTTAGGGTCATGTGCAGATATCAGCTGTGTGACATATATATATCACTAGAGTCTAGAGCTTGTAAAGTCTATAAAAATTACACATTTCAAATAGTTCATTTTAAAAAAGGTAATAGATCAAGAAAAATAATGACATGTAAAATCTTACACGGCTGTCAGATAAGAAAGCTAATAATAAAACTGTAGTATTTGGACACCCAAGCCACTATATCTTTTTAATTTGGTTTATATTTAATTGATGTTCAACATTTTCCATCCATAAAATTAATACCAACTTGCACTCCCACCAGAAATGTATGAGAGTGCCTGATTTCCTACAGCATTGCCATTAAAGTAAGTTTTCAGACTTTCGTACTATTGACAACCTCATAGGAGAGAATAATTCGAGTATAATTTTCATTTCATTTGACATGGTATTTTTCACCCTCATATTTTTGGGGGCCATTCTTGTTTTCATTTCTGTAAATTGCCTATTCATATCTCTTTCTCATATTTTTCTACAGAATATTGGTCTTTTTATTATTGATATCCAGTGTATTTTATGCATTAGTCAAGCCAATGTATCTTACTTCCTCATGCATGTGTAGCAACCATGTTTTATTTTAATTTTATTTATTTATTTATTTATTTTTTAGACAGAGTCTCGCTCTGCCATCCAGGCTGGAGTGCAGTGGCACCATCTCAGCTCACTGAAACTCCACTTCCCAGGTTCAAGCGATTCTCCTGCCTCAGCCTCCCAAGTAGCTGGGATTACATGTGTGCACCAACACGCCCGGCTAATTTTTGTATTTTTAGTAGAGACAGGGTTTCACTGTGTTAGTCAGGCTGGTCTCGAACTCCTGACCTCAGGTGATCTGCTCATCTTTCACCATGTTAGTCAGGCTGGTCTCAAACTCCTGACTTCAGGTGATCCACCCATGTCAGCCTCCCAAAGTGCTGGGATTACAGGCGTGAGCCACAGTGTGTGGCCCCCATGTTATATTTATATAATGTTTCTTTAATCTTCTAATGCCAGTTTTATTTTCACAGTAGACAGTGATATTCAAAAAGAATAATATACAAATAAAAATTATAGATCAGTATCAATTATGAACACAAATATAAAATTCACAAACAAAATATTAGCAAACTGATGATCACCTCAACAGTTAACACCTAGTTAAGATTTAAACTTCAAATAAACTGGAAATAGAACATTGCATTGATCATATTAAGAAAATATAAAGTAAAACTATAACAAAATTTTGATATTTATAATAAATAGCAACATAGAACATAAATTCACAATAAGCAAGGCAAAATAGTATTGTTGCAGAAATAGAAAAATAGACAGTAGAACAGAATCGTGAGTCCAGAAAAAAAAATCCAAGAATATATGAGTATTTAATCTATGATAAAGGTTGTATTGTAAAGAGTGTTTTAGAGTTTTTACATGCAATTATAGGAAAGTTGTTCTCAGCTTAAAGTGGCCTCTTATAAGGAAAAGATATTTATGTAAGTCTCATGGTGACTACGAAGCAAATAGAATAATTCTACAAATTACTTTTAAAAAGGACTCAAAGCATACAACCACAGAAAACTATCAAACCACAAAGAAAGATAGCAAGAGAGAAAGTAAAAAGGGAACTACAAAACAACAATAAAAAAAATTTACAAAATGGCAATAGCAAGCCCTTACCTTGCAATAATTACCTTAAATGTAAATGGATTAAATTACCCAATAGAAAGACTCAGAGAATCTAAATAAATTTTTAAAAAAAGATCCAACCACATGCTGCCTATAAGAGGGTCACTTCACTAGTCATGACACACATAGACTGAAAATGTAGGCCTGGAAAAAGATATTTCATGCAAATATAAACTGAAAGTGAGCAGAAGTAGCTACACTTATAACACACAAAGTAGACGTTAAGTAAAAAAAATTATTAAAAGGGACGAGAAGATTATTACATAATGATAAAGGGGTTAGTTCACCATGAAGACCTAACAATTATAAATATATTTGCACCCAATATTAGAGCACCTATATACAGAAAGCAATTATTAAATAATCGGAAAAGAAAGACTGCAATACTATAATAGTAGAGGACCTTAATACGCCACTTTCAACAATGAATAGATTATCTAAACAGAATATCAATAAAGAAACATTGGACTTGAATTAAACTTTAAAACAAATGGATCTAACAGACATAAACAGAACATTCCATCCAACAAGAGCAGAATATACATTTTTCTCAAGTGATCATCTAACATTCTTCAGGATAGACCATGTTAGGCCACAAAACCAAACTTAACAAATTTAAGAGGACTGAAATAATATTAAGTATTTTTTTCAGATCACAATGGCATGAAACAAGAAATGGATGAGAAAAAATCTTGAAAAATACACAAATATGCAGAAATTAAACAATATGCTCCTTGAACACCACTGGGTCACAGAAGAAATAAAAAAAGGAAATTAAAAAAAAACATTTTGTGACAAATGTTTGAGACAAATGCAAATGGAAATACAACACACCAAAACGTATGGAATGAAGCAAAAGCAGTCCCGAAAGGGAAATTTATAGTGATAAGTGTTCATATCAAAAAAAGAAGAAAGGGCTAGGTGCCATGGCTCATGCCTGTAATCCCAGAACTTTGGGAGGCCAAGGTGGGTGGACCATTTGAGGTCAGGAATTCAAGACCAGCCTGACCAACATGGTGAAACCCCGTCTCTACTTAAAAATATAAAAATTAGCCGGGCATGGTGGCGGGTGCCTGTAATCCCAGCTACTCAGGAGGCTGAGGCAGGAGAATCACTTGAACCAGGGAGGCAGAGGTTGCAGTGAGCCGAGATTGCACCACTGCACTCCAACCTGGGCAACAGAGCAAGACTCTGTCTCAAAAAATAGAAGAAGAGGAAAAGGAAGAAGAAGGAGGAGGAGGAGGAAGAAGAAAAAGAAGAAATAAACAATCTAATGTCATACCTCAAGGAGCTAAAAAGAGAAATACAAACCAACCACTAAATTAGCAGAAGAAAGAAAATGACAAAGATCAGAGAATAAATAATAAACAAATTAGAAACTAAAAGATAATTTAAAAACAACCAAACTAACAGGTTTTTGCAAAGATACACAAAATTGACAAACCCTTAGTTAGATGAATTAGAAAAAAAAGAAAGCTTTCTCAAATAAATAAGATCACAAGTGAAAGAGGAGACATCACGAATGATACTACAAAAATACAAAGGATCATAAGAAACCAGTATGAAAAATTATATGCCAACACACTGTATAATCTAGAAGAAACGGATAAATTCCTAGACACATAGAACTTTCCAAGACTGAATCATGAAGAAATAGAATATCTGAACAGACCAGTAGTAAGTAAAGAGATTGAATAAGACTTTTACATGCCTGTAAAAGTCCCCCACCAAAGGAAAGCCCAGCACTGGATGGCTTTACTGTGGAATTCTACAAAACAATTAAAGAACTAACACCAATACTTCTCCAACTCTTCCAAAAAATTGACGTAATGACATTGTACTGCCATAAAAACAGACATGAAAACCCATGCATTTATGGCGAACTGATTTCTGAAATAGGTACCAAGAACACACAATGGGGAAAATACAATCTCTTCAATAAATGGTGTTGAGACCACTGAATATTCACATGCAGAAGAATAAAATTAGGCTCTTATATCATATGTAAAAATCACTCAAAAGAGATAAAAAAAAAAACTTAACTATAAGACCTGAAAGGGTAAGACAACTAGAAGAAAACACTGGGAGGAAGCTCCACAACATTGGTCTGGGCAGTTATTTTTTGGATATAACTCCAAAAGCACAGGCAATAAAAGGAAAAGCAAAATAGACAAATGGATGGCATCAAACTAAAAAGTTTCTGCACAGCAAAGGAAACAATAACAAACCGAAGAGACAACCCACAGAATGGGAGACAATATTTGCAAACCATACATCTGATGGTATATGGAACTCAAACAACTCAAAGCAAGAAAACAAATAACCTGATTAAAAATTGGACAAAGGGCCTGAACAGACATTTCTCAAAAAAAGAGATACAAATGGCTGACAAGTATATGAAAAAATTCTCAGCATCACTAATCATTTGGAAAATGCATATTAAAAACAAAAAGATATCACCTTACATTTGTTAGAATGGCTTGTATCAAAAAATGAAAGAAAGCAAATTCTGGGGAAGATGCAGAGAAAAAGGAGCTCTTACATATTGATGAGGGGAATGTAAATTAGTATTGCCATTATGAGAAATGGTATGAAGATTCTGCCATAAACTAAAAACAGAACTACCATATGACCCAGTAATCCCACTTCTGAGTATACATCATAAGGAACTGAAATCAATATGTCAAAGAGATATCTGCACTCCCATGTTCATAGCAGGATTATTCACTGTAGTAGTCTATTTTCACACTGCTATAAAGAACTACCTGAGACTGGGTAATTTATAAAGAAAAGAGGTTTAATTAACTCACACTCCTGCATGGCTGGGAAGGCCTCAGGAAAATTACAATCATGGCAGAAGGTGAAGGGGAAGCAAGGCATGTCTTACATAGTGGCAGGAAAGAGACAGAGAGAGAGAGAGTGAAAAAAGCTACACACTTTTAAGCCATCAGATCTCATGAGAACTCACTCACTATCATGAGAACAGCATGGGGGAATGATCGAATTATCTCCCATGATCCAATCATCTCCCACTAGGTTCCTCCTCTGACACATGGAGATTACAATTCGAGATGAATTTGGGTGGGGACACAGAGCCAAACCATATCATTCACAATAGTCAAGACATGGAATCAACCTAAGTGTTCATCAATGGACAAATGGATAAAAAATTGCGATATAAATTAAATGTAATACTATTCAGCCTTAAGAAAGAGCAAAATGCTGTCATTTGCAACAACATGGATGAATGTGGAGGACACTATGCTACATGAAATTATCAGGGCATAGAAAGAAAAATACCACATGCTCTCAGGTTTATGTAGACTATAACAAAGTTGAACTCATAGAAGTAGGAAGTATCATGGCTACTAAAGGCTGAGGTGGGGTGGGGGTGGAGAGGGAGGGAATGAGGAGTTGTTGATCGAAGGGTGCAAAGTCTCAGGTAGAAAGAAGAAACATATTTTGAGATCTACTGCACAGCAGGATGACTATAATCAATAATAATGTGTTATGTATTTCAAAGTAAGAGAGTAAATTTCAAGTGTCTCCCCATAAGAAATGGTGAGCAAGATGATGAATATGTAATTAGCTTGATTTAATCATGCCACATTGTATACATATATCAAAACATCACATTGTGCCCCCAAAATGATAGAATTATGGTTTGTGAATCAAAATAACATTAATAAGTTTTAAATAAAAATAAATAAATACATAAATACATAAAAGCCTAAAGAAAAATAAAGTATATGGTGGAATGAAGAACCCAAGCCAGGAGGATCCAAAGAGCTAGCATACAAATCTCAACAATACATTAAACAGGCAATGCATTATTTAGACTATGTCACACATATTATTATGTATTTTAATATTTTTCTGCTAAAGCAGATTTGTTTAGTGTCTGGTACTACATACGAAAATCAAACTAAAGTAACTACAACATTATTCTCGTCCTCAACACTCTAGAGCTAAAGTGTGCCACCACATTCAGTCTCTTTTCAGCCAGGGTTTAAAGTACATAGATGCTATGTTCTGTTAACCTTTTTCAGCAGGTTGATGCCTTTTGGGAAACATTGGTTTCCTAAGACAAGACTTGTGGGGCTTTGGGAATATTTTAATTAAACTATAAAGTCACAGATAATTTTCTGCATTTGTCCTTGTCACAATCAGGAAAGCAATGGAAACCTCCAGAAAATTCCAGGAACTTGATGTTACTGGATACTGGTCCAACAGAATATGTGCTGGAAATCTCCAATCCTAACTCCCCCAACTCTTGCCTCTACTGAGGGTCATTTTCCTCTTCCTGGTTTTGATTTCCTCTTCATTCTTTTGGTCAGTCTTCACATACTTGCCTCTCATATACAAAAGGCAAACTTTTTAAAAACAGAGTTCATCTTTGCTTTCACACAGTAAAATGCATAATATTGCTTTGCGTGTGTGTGCATGTGTGTGTATGTGTGTAAAATAGAGCTTTGCTTCTTCGAGGCTGTCTTTAGCATCAGATGTTAAAAATTCTTCATCTGAATTTTTGGAACTTGTTTCGTGTCTTCTTGGTCAGAAGTTGAAATGTTTCAGATGACTGGCTTCTAAATAACTGATATTTTACCATACTTCATGTTTTTTCCCTAAGATGTGCCATGTAAGTATGAATAAAATGGAAACTAATTTCATTCCATGTAAAAATTATAGTTCAACATAGAAACAAATTAGAAATGTGACCAAGGCATTTTATGTCAGATCGATACAGAAGACTAATACTGACCACAAAGCAGTGTTCTGGAGAGAAGCATTTTGGGGTTGGAGTGTGAAAATGTTATCAATGTATTGTTCAAAATGATAGGCATTTAAGATGGCAGACAATTATAATAACAGCAGTTCTTCTACCACATTTTTCTTTAACCAGCAATACACTCTTCCAGTTTCCACAGTAACACAATCAATTTCTGATTACAAATGCAAGCACAGCAATTTAGGCCTAGACTAGAGAAAATGAAGAGCATATTTGTAGTTCAGAGAAAATTTGAAATTAGCCTATATCCCTCATCTGAGAAGCTCTATTTGATATTGACAATTAAGTTTGAGAATAAGAACTTAAAAGGAAAATTTCCAACTGAATGTAAACTTGATTTTATAGAAAACTCATACTTTTTATCATGTCTTACAAAAAAAAAAGATTTCAGAACTGCTGCTAGATGAATGGTATTTAATTACATCAGTTGAACTGAATTACAGCAGAAACAAATGACAATTAGACACCAATATGTGAGTGACTAATGGGAACATGAATAATCTCAGTAGGCTCTATTTGTTTGGATTAATGCACAGTTGCCAAATTATAATCTAAAATGCTTAGATATGAAATTTTTTCTTCTTTGATTTTTTATTACTTCTTTTAAAAATAAGGATCATCCTCACTCATTATAACAGAAAACAGAAATACCAATATGGTTAGATGTTATGCTAACTCTGAAGTGCTTTCTAAAGAGTAAAAAAAAAAATCATTTCTAAAATGGCTTGTATCATATGCATAAACACAAATAAAAATAATGTATATGGCTTGGAAACATCTTTGACTAGTGTAAAACCTTCAGGAGAAGGACTCTTCCTTATTGAATTAAGTGCATTTGTAAACGAAGGTAAAGGCCAATGAAGTCATTAGACAAACATGAATAGTACCTTACTCACTCATAAGCATTCACATGCCTTCCTGAGCACGTAACTCACGACCACTAGTGGCTAAAGCATCAAGAAAAAGATTAGAATCCTATAAAATCCCTAAAGGTCTGGTTTATAGGACAGGACAATTATATGTTAATAGATTTGTGAAAAATACAAAACTACCTACCATCTGAGCACATAATACCTGTGACTTCCATATTGCTGAGCAAGTACCTTGTACTTCACAATAACATTTAATTTAATCTCTCTGAAAACCCTCTGAAGTTGTGGCAGTAGTCTTATTTACTGATGAAACCCAATGTCACACACTGGCAGTGACTATATGAAGATAATAACTGTGGCAAATCATAGCACTTAAACTGTAAACA
Organism: Homo sapiens; assembly: GCF_000001405.40. Classification (NCBI taxonomy): domain Eukaryota; kingdom Metazoa; phylum Chordata; class Mammalia; order Primates; family Hominidae; genus Homo; species Homo sapiens. Next base: position 162,750,604 of record NC_000006.12, on the reverse strand, counting down.
GCATTGTGGACACTATCTTAAAGAGTTTCCAATAATTTTACTCTATTAGTTGAAGATGGAAAATATAATTACAAATGCCTAGTCTAGCTTTCCAAAATAAGATTTTATCATCCTGCAGTCAGGTCAAATCAATGATCATTAGAAATAATCTGTTGATTTTTCAAGCCTTAGGAATACATGGTCTAACTTATGATCCTAGAATAATTTTAATGAGTAAAATGACAGTGTGAATGTTTGAGAAGTAATTTTTCCAAATGCCATAAAAACTTTTATTGGTTCATTATTCCAGTTTAATGTGCTATCATTCAAATTTTCAAAACTCACAGACTAAATTGCATATATGCATCTAGGTTGGCAAGAAAGCCAGCGGTTGGCCTAAGGCTGAAATAAAATTTATGGTTTCTTATAAAATGTGAAAGACTCCTAAGGTATCTTTGAAAGAAAATAAGTGAAGGCAGACATAAATTTAAGTTTTATGTACACGGAACAAATCAGTATCAACAAATGAAGCAAAATGTTAAGTACTATCATAGTTTGTAAGGAGAAACATCAGTACACATTGGGTAATCAACAATGGAGACAGTGAATGCAAATGTAAATATACATGAGTGGAAAAATTATGGGGATTTGGTTTTCATAATCTGATGACATTTCAATAAAGCTTCTATAGAAACTATGTATTTAATAGCATATATAAATCAATGGTGAATGTTCCCATAATATGAAAGTATTACTATATTCAGTGATACAGTTTACACTTATTACAGTAAGAAATATGTTTCCTTGGCTGGGTGCGGTGGCTCACGTCTATAATGCCAGCACTTTGGGAGGCCGAGGCGGGCAGATCATCTGAGGTCAGGAGTTCGAGACCAGCCTGGCCAACATGGCGAAACCCCATCTCTACTGAAAATACAAAATCAGTTGGGCATGGTGGTGCATGCCTGTAGTCCCAGATACTCAGGGGACTGAGGCAGGAGAATCCCTTGAACCCGGGAGGTGGAGGTTGCAGTGAGCTGAGATCACGCCATTGCACTCCAGCCTGGGCGACAGAGCAAGACCCCGTCTCAAAAAAATAAAAAAAGAAATATGTTTCCTTTTATTTTGTGCCCCAGGAGAATGATCTTCATGTAATAAGCAGGATTATACATACTCTGTAATAAGTATAAACTATATCCCTGTAAGATCTTTCGTATGTCTCAGGGATGGCAAGGATATTCTTGTTATTGCCATTAATAACTTCATGTGCCAGCCGAGGAAAAGCTGACATGGTGGAGTTTTGATCCTCTCACCTTCTTGACAGTCGGTGCAGCTAGTCCACTTTCAGATATTTAGCCAAATGAGATAAACATACATCCATGCAAATACTTGTACAACAATGTTCAGAGTATGTACTTGTTTTTAACAATCATGCACTGGACACCACCCAAGTCAACAGCAGGTGGTTAAACAAAGTATGCTATATCCATATAAATGGAATCCTTTCCAGCAATAAAAAGGAATAAAGTATTACATACAAATGAATGCATCTCAAAATAATTCTGATGACTAAAAAGATCCATAGAAAATACATCCTGTATAATTTGATTTATGTAAACTCTACAAAATGCAAACTCATTGATAGTAAAAGAAAGCAGATCATTGGCTAACTGGAGAAGGGGGGAAGGAGTGAGTGTGAGGGATTAAAAAGAGGGGATGAATATATTCATTATCTTGATTGCTGTCAAGGCTTATCACATTCTATAATATATATGGTTTATTGTTGATACTTCAATTAAGCTTTTGAAAAAAGTAGTAGTATAAGCATAATACGTAGAGATTTGAAATGGTTTTATTTTAATATTTGAAATAAAAAAGGGTTAAATGTGGTAGAGGTGAAGGGATGTGAACCTGGGGGAGGGGAGTAGGCTGCGGTCAGGGATTGATAGGTTCAGAAAAGCCATTTTCTATACTTTACCTGTTAACTGTGTGCGTGAATCTCATTGATACTTTAGAAAATAATTATTGATTTGAGAAGAGATTTTCAAATCTGACAATGGAAAATTGATGATATGGATTTTCCACTATAAACTGAATACAAGTTTTTTGGTTTGTTTGGTTTGGTTTTGTTTTTTTGAGATGGAGTCTCACTCTGTCGCGCAGGCTGGAGTGCAGTGGTCCGATCTCAGTCACTGCAACCTCCGCCTCCTGGGGTTCAAGCGATTCTCATGCCTCAGCCTCCCGAGTAGCTGGGATAACAGGCAGGTGCCACCACGCCTGGCTAATTTTTTTGTATTTTTATTAGAGACGGGGTTTCACCACGATGGCCAGACTGGTTTCAAACTCCTGACCTCAGGTGATCTGCCTGCCTCGGCCTCCCAAAGTGCTGGAATTACAGGCGTGAGCCACAGCCCCGGCCCTGAATACAAGTTCTGACTTGGTTTTCCAATATTTTAATACGTTTCAGCAGATTCACTCCAACCCACTTTCTTTAATGACAAATGCCACTTATCACTGAGTGATTGACTAGAGTTAGAGAGGTGAGATCTATGGTTAAAAAACCATAGAGTAAAATTAATAGGTTGAATTAATTATTTTAGAATAGTAAAACTTAAATTGTTATGAAAAGTGCTAACATCAGCACAGCAGTCTGAAATCATTTTTTAGCCCACTTATCATCTGCACTCCAGAATGTTCTCCCTTCTTTCCAGAAAATATGATGTTAGCCCAGGTGTCTCCTAATGGGAGACTAAGAATTTTAAGGATATTTGTGGATTAAGATGAATCTCTACATTTCCTGAGCCCCGTCTCCCATTACTAATACTCTTGGCTGGATCTTAGTTTACCTTGGGATCTAGGTCTGGATTCTGAGTAAAATTATTGTCTATGTGAAATCACCTTAAACTGTCTCCTCTGTCTTGGTCAGCTTAAGTCCTATCCTGGCTCGCTCAATCTGGTTGATTGGTTGATTCTGGCTTTCCCTGCATTAGCTCTGGGTAAACTTGGTGTTTGTACTACGTAGGTCACTAGAAGCATTTCAATTTTGTCTAATATACCCAGTGTACTGGTGCTGATACATGCTTTTGATAACCTCCTGTATTAGTCAGGGGTCTCTGGAGGGACAGAACTAATGGAATATATATATATATATATAGTTTTACATATATATTTATAGTTATATATATATATAGTTTTACATATATATTTATAGTTATATATATATATACATATATATATACATATATATACATATATATGTATGTGTATATATATATATATATATATATATATATATATATATATGAGCAAGGAGAGCCAGTCTGAGTTCCAAAACTGAAGAACTTAGAGTCCGATGTTGTTCTAGAGCAAGAAGCATCCAGCATGGGAGAAAGACGTAGGCTGGGAGGCTAGGCCAGTCTCTCTGTTCACATTTTTCTGCCTGCTTATATTCTAGCCGTGCTGGCAGCTGATTAACCCGTGCCACTCAGGTTAAGGATGGGTCTGCCTCTCCCAGCCCACTGATTCAAATGTTAATCTCCTTTAGCAACAGACACACCCAGGATCAATACTTTACATCCTTCAATCCAATTAGCACTCAGTATTAAACATCACACCTCCCAACATTTCTGGTTTCTTTGGTTTTACTAAAACATCATTCTTGTCAATTTGTTGCAGTATCAAGTGTTGATAAGTTTCAAATCAATCAAATTCTGCACATAAATAAGAAGGCCAAGTGTGATACAGAGAAGGGTCCTTTTATATATCTGCAAGATCCTAGTCAATTAATTACCTCTTTTTTCCTGTAAGTTATGAATATGAAAGAAATGTAAAACAGGGGATGGACATTCTGAGCGGAATCACTTTCACACACTAAGCTAGAATTAAAAAATCCAGAACACTTCTTACTGAGCATCTCCTATGTCTATGACACTGTGCAAAGCACCGAGGGGAGGGGAGACCAAGACACTGGCTATTTATGCTTCATTCTTTGTATGTAAAAGTTATATTTGATGACTGCCTAAAACGTCTTCATATTTACTCCTAATAATGACAGAAGATAATTTTGTGTGAATGTGTGTACCATCTAGTGAAATCATCAGCAAATATAACATTTCCTTAAGAAATTTCAATGGGAAATAAACCATAAACAGAGGCATCCATCATTACCGTTTAAAGTTACTAGTATTTACCTTATACAACTGTTACTGTTCTGTCTATAATCACTACATCATATAAAATTCTAAACTATATTTAAATACCGTGTTATATTCAAAAAATTTTTGTGCTCAAGTGAAAATATTTAACACTGTGTCATTTTACTCAATTTTAAAACAATGTTACAGTTTTATCATGCAAAATAACCTTAAAATATAAATTGCAGGACACAGAAAATTTGGTAAAGGATTTACTGCTTATCTCTGGGACTATTTATTCATAGCTACTTTAATTTAGAATAGACAACCTGTGAAATATATTTCTCTGTAGATTTTCTTCTAAGCAAAAACCACAAAAGTAAGGTAGTTAGCCATGATCTATCTTGTATTTATTATTTTATTTGGCATTTATTACATAATTTTTTTATAGTATTACTTTCTCTAATCTATGTCACATCAATGGCTAACTTGAACTGGTTTAGGAAGATAATTCTAAAATATAAATTATTATTTATACAACATAATTATTATGTATGATATTATCAGTTTACACTTTTTTCCCAAAATGACAGTAACTTTGAAAAAGAAGCAAATTCATGAATAATAATATCTTAAATTTGTGTTTAGGCTATGATTCTTCCATATACACAAAAAACTTAAAAATAAATCTCTCCCTAAGCAGAACACTTCTTCACTACCACAGACTAACTAATTACCTCACACAGGCTTGAAAGTTTCAGTTGTTGGACCTCAAGTATTAAATCTCAATGTCTCTTGTCTTATTTTCTAGGTACTACAAAATCAGCAGTCATCCTAGTTATTAAACCTTGATGTGCTTTTCACCAATATAAGACCACTGTCTGGTCAAGTATGTGTCCTCACAACTCCCTCAATGTCGCATAGAGATTTTTATTTTATTTTTATTTTTATTTTAAAGTTCCAGGATACATGTGCAGAACAAGCAGGTTTGTTATATAGGTATATGTGTGTCATGGTGATTTGCTGCACCTATCAATCAAAATCTAGATTTTAAGCCCCGTATGCATTAGCTATTTGTCCTGATGCTCTCCCTCCCCTCACCCCACATCCCCCGAAAGGCCCCTGTGTGTGTTGTTCCCCTCCCTGTGTCCACGTGTTCTCATTGTTCAACTCCCACTTATGAGTGAGAACATGCAGTGTTTGGTTTTCCGTGTCTGTGTTGGTTTGCTGAGGATGATGGCTTCCAGCTTCATCTGTGTCCTTGCAAAGGATACAATCTCATTCCTTTTTATGGCTATTCAGTAGTGTATATATGGCACATGGATTTTTAAGTCAATTCTTACTAAGGAAGCAGAAGCAAAATGATATATATCTTCCTGAATCTTTTTAAAAAATTTCATTTTAAGGCCATTAAATATGAAAGTTATCCATTGAATGTATAAATATATATTTTCCAGGAAATAAATAACATAGAAAAAGTCTAGAATGCTGGGCCCAAAAGGAAGTATAAATAAATATTGTTACCTATTGTCAGGTCATTTTCAGAGCTCCTGAAACATGAATTTGCTAGGTTCTGTGATATGGTTAAAAAAAGACGAAAAAATACATTTTGATGACATTTTCTCCATTGTTTTCTGATTATTGTTTATAACTTGTTTTCTTTTGCATTTTCTACTTACTGATCAAAATCACAAAAGCCATAAACATTACATGATATCATTTGATTTTTAGCAGTGAGTCATGTTTTTAAAATCTTTAAACAATTTTTTATGGATTACTAAATAGGGATATAGAAAATAAACAGAAGGGAATACCAAAACTTATGTACCTATTTCAAATATGCCTAAGACTGACCAAATTCTTACTATACACAACTTATATTTATGAAATATATATATATAAAGAGATGGGGTCTCGCTGTGTCACTGAGGCTGGAGTGCAGTGATGATCACAGCTCACTGCAGCCTTGGTCTCCTGTGCTCAAGCAATCCTCCAACCTCGGCCTCCCAAGAAGCTGGGATTACAGTTATGTGCCACAATGCCTGGCTTATTTAAAAAATGTTTTAGACGGGGGTCTGGCTATGTTTCCCAGGCTGGTTTTGAACTGTAGCCTCAAGCAATCCTCCCACCTCAGCCTCCCAAAGTGCTGGGATTATAGGCGTGAGCCACCACACCCAGCCAGGAATAATATCTTTATATAGATGTCTCTGATATCTTTCCCACTGAAACAAATGATCTGCATTTAATGATCCAGAATAACTACAGACAAAAAAAGTCTTTTTTTCAAGTTTTCATAGGAACATTTCTAGAAAATGATCCTATTCTAGACCAAAACTCTAATAAACTTCAAGCAGCTTAGACTGTAGAAACTAAATAACCATCAAGCAACAATTGTATTTTTTAAAATCATAATCAAACCATAATCAGAAAGCCCCAACCAATAGGAAAAATAATTCCTCATAAGTAACAACCATATAAAAGAGGGAAGCAAAAATACAATTACATATCTTTTAAATAACAAGAACAATAATTTCTATTACAAACAAAAGTATTTCAAAAGACAAATGTCTAGAATAGGCAAATTTCTAGAGACAATAGCTTAACAATTTCCTAGAGCTGGGACCAATAAGCCATTTGGTGGATGATAATTAAGGGTTTTTTTTCCTTAGCATGAGGAAAATGTTTCAAAATTGATTGTGGTGATATACGTGCAACTCTGAGAATATACTAAAAGCCACTGTATGTTACACTGTAACTGAGTGAATTATATGTATATGAATTACATCTCAATAAAACTGTTAAAAAGAGGCATTAAATAAATAATTCAAAAACTCAGTAAAAAAGTTTAATAATGGAAAGCAAAAGAAAAAAATATGTGAGAGTAGAAATAAGAAATCCATTATCAAAACTGGAAGAATTGGTATGTCAGTTCGAGAGATAGCATACAAAGAAAACCAAAGCATAAATAAATCCAATCAAGGAAAAAACATTAATAAATTAGCAATGAGAATATATTGGTCATACTAAAATGTAAAATATAGTATGATATATGTATGATATGACTCCAATTCTACAAACAAAAAAGGCATGTAGAGATGTGGGAATAATTCAAGAGTGATTAACACTAAAAAATGAGATTTGAGATTTATCTTTTCTCTTTTATGTATTTTCTTAAGACTCTACATAAGAATTTTTCTCTTTTACAATGAAAATAATTGTTTAAAATTACCCAAAATAGTAAAAGAAAAACATGAACTCAAATAACTCAATAGCAAAAGAACAAATTTTTTAAAGTGGGCAAAGGGACTGAATAGACATTTGTCAAAATAAGACATTCAGATGCCCAGCAGATATATGAAAAAATGCTCAGTACCACTAATCATCAGGGCACTGTAATTTAAAAGCATAATGAGATATTCACACTTGTTAGAACCGTTATCATCAAAAAGACAAAAGATAACTAGTGTTTGTGGGGATGTGGAAAAATGGGAACCCTTGCACACTGTTGGCAGGAATGCAAAATGGTGCAGCTGCTATAAAAAACAGTACGGAGGTCCCTCAAAAAATTAAAATTTAAACTACCATATAATCCAGCAATTCCACTTTTCTTCTTTGAACCTGTATTCAAAGAAGATATTCTTTGAATATCTTCTTTCTATTCTCTTTGAATCAGTATTCAAAGAGATAGCTTCACTCTCATGTTTATTACAGCATTATTCACAAGAGCCAAGGTATGGAAACAACCTAAGCATCCACCAATGGATGAATAGTTAAAGAAAGTGTAGCATATATAGACAATGGAATACTATTCAGCCTTAAAAAGAGAAGGATTAAAACTACTACAAGAGTATTGTAACACAAAGAGTAAGTGCTTGAGGGAATGAGAAAAAAAAAGAAATCCTGTCATTTATGACACTATGATGAACCTGGAGAATATTTATGCATGTGAAATAAGCCAGACACAGAAAGACAAATACCACACAATCTCACTTACATGTTGTATTAGTCCATTCTCCTATTGGTAATAAAGACATACCTGAGACTGGGTAATTTATAAAGAAAAAGAAGTTTAATAGACTCACAGTTCCACGTGACTGAAGAAGCCTCGCAATCATGGTGGAAGGCGAAAGGTATGTCTTACATGGTGGCAACAAAGAGAGAATGAGAGCCAAATGAAAGGGGAAACCCCTTATAAAACCATCAGATATTGTGAGACTTATTCACTACCACGAGAATAGTATGAGGGAAACCACTCCCCATGATTCAATTATGTCCTGCTGGGTCCCTCCCACAACATGTGAGAATTATGGAAGCTAAAATTCAAGATGAGATTCGGGTGAGGACACAGCCAAACCATATCATACGTGGAATCTAGAAAAGCCAGACTCACAGAAGCAAAGAGTAGAAGGGTACTTACCAGAAGCTGGGAGATGAGGGAGTTGGGATGATGTTGGTGATAGGACATAAAATTTTAGTTAAATAGGAGAAATAGATTCAAGAGATCTATTGTACAACATGGTGACTATAGTTAATCACAATGAATTGCATTCTTGAAAATCACTGAGAGTAGATTTAACTGTTCTCACTGCAAAAAAATTATGAGTATGTAAAAAAATCATTAAAATCTAATAAATATTTTTTGTAGAATGCAAATGTGGTACACACATTTAGTTTTCTTTCCAAAGGAAGGTTTTTGATTTCTTTTAGTTTATAGAAATATTGTTTCATTCTGGCAGCCAAGAACTCCAAGAGATGGTCCTTCTTCCAGTCTTGACAGATGAGCCAAACACAGCAATCCCATCTCTTACCTGATACTGACTGTTTGTGTTCCCCAAAATTAATGTGTTGAAGCTCTAATCCCTAATGTGAAGTATTTTAAGATGGGGCTTTGGGGGTAGTAATTAGGGTTAGAATAGGTCTTGAGAATGGGGCCTTTAGGCCAGGATTAGTGGCTCTACAAGAAAGAGAGAGAGAGAGAGAGAGAGATGCTCTCCTCACAAACATGTATGGAGGAAAGCCATGTGAGGACACAGCAAGAAGGTGGCTATCTGCAAGCACGGAAGAGAGCCCTCACCAAGAGCCAAAATGGTGGCACCTTGACCTTGAACTTCCCAGTCTCCAGAACCATGAGAAATAAATGTTTAAGCCACCCAGTCTATGGTATTGTGTTATGACAGACCCAGCCTACTAAGACACTACCCTAGCAATAATACCTGATCTTGAAGACACTAACTACCCTAGCAATAACACACAGTTTTGAAAAGACTACCCTAGCAATAGTACCTCATCTTGGAATGATATGACAAAAGCACCTTGTGGTGGATCACTAGGAAGGACTTTGCTGCCTGGTAAATCAGAGACACCAATAATTTATGCTTGTTTTTTTAAGCTAAATACATCATGATTAAATAATGTAAAAGAATATAAGGATAATTCAGCATTAGAATATATGTATTCACATAATTAACGTTAACAGACTGAAGAGGAACAAATCTTATAATCATCACAACAGATGCAGCAAGTGTCTGATAAAATTCAATACTACTTCCAATTAAGAAAAACACCCTTAGCAAATTAAGAATATAAAAAATTGAAATGGCTGGGCGTGGTGGCTCATGCATGTAATCCCAGAACTTTGGGAGGCTGAGGAGGGCAGATCATGAGGTCAGGAGATCAAGACCATCCTGGCTAACATGGTGAAACCCCCGTTTCTACTAAAAATACAAAAATTAGCTGGGCGTGGTGGCGCGGGCCTGTAGTCCCAGCTACTTTGGAGGCTGAGGCAGGAGAATCACTTGAACCCAGGGGGCAGAGGTTGCAGTGAGCTGAGATTATGCCACTGCACTCCAGCCTGGGTGGCTGAGCGAGTCCATCTCAAAAAAAAAAAAAAGTGGCTCATGCCTGTAATCCCAGCACTTTGGGAGGCCAAAGGCAGGTGGATCGCGAGGTCAGGAGATCAAGACCATCCTGGCTAACACAGGGGTGTTACTAAATTTTTTGTACTAAAAATACAAAAAATTAGCTGGGGGTGGTGGTGGGCGCCTGTAGTCCCAGCTATTCAGGAGGCTGAGGCAGGATAATGGCGTGAACCCGGAAGGTGGAGCTTGCAGTGAGCTGAGATCACGCCACTGCACTCCAGCCTGGGTGACAGAGCAAGACTCCGTCTCAAAAAAAAAAAAGATGATTGATATTGTCCCACAAATTGCACCTTGAATAAAATTCTAGTTAAAATCTCCAAGGAAATTTTCATGAAACTTGACCGCTTATTCTAAAATTCCTATAGATAGTAAGAAAGCAACGACGTCAACTAGGATATAAACAAATTGGGGGAACTCATCTCGCTAAATACAAAATTTGTAAAGCTACAACAATAAAGGCAGTGTGATACTGGTTCAGAGACAGACAAAGAGACTAATGGGACATAATACAGAGTACTCAGTTAGTATTCATAGATGGTACTGTCTTGGTGGCTCTCCATATGGAAAAGATCAAAAGAAAGCCTTACCTCCCATCTTAAAAGTAAATTTGCAGTTAAATAATTAACAATGTATGTGTGAACATTATAAGAATAAAACACATAGAAGAAACCTTACAATATTAGGATCAAAAAAATTCTTTTGAAACTAGGCAATTTTTTTTTTTTTTTTTTTTTTTAAAGATGGAGCCTCACTCTGTTGCCAGGCTGGAGTGCAGTGGCACTATCTCAGCTCACTGCAATCTCTGGCTCCCGGGTTCAAGTGAGTCCCCTGCCTCAGCCTCCTGAGTAGCTGGGACTACAGACACCTGCCACCACATGCAGCTAATTTTTTGTATTTTAGTAGAGATGGAGTTTCACCATGTTAGCCGGGATGGTCTCAATCTCCTGACCTCGTGATTCACCTGCGTCAGCCTCCCAAAGTGCTGGGATTACAGGCGTGAGCAACCACGCCTGGCCGACAAAAATTTTTTAAAAACACCAAAACCATAAAGGAAGAATGTGATAAGTATAAATACCTAAAGTTAAATTTAAAATTTATGTATTAAAAAGATGTAAAAATAAGTATAAAGACAAGTCGCTAACTGCAAGAAAATATGTACATACCATATCCAGAACATATCCATATCTAGAGTATGTTAAGTACAGCTATATGTCAATAACAAAAGGACTGACAATGTAACAGAAAAAATGGGCAAAGGCTATGAATATGCACACTAAAGAGGAAGAAATCTACATGATAAAACTCCTATAAAAAGGAAACATGACCACTAGTAATCAGAGAAATGCAAAATTAAAACAAGATATTATTTCATATACTTCAGATTGGTACAATTTTAGTCTGATACCAACAATTTATGATCTTGGAAACAAGCATTTGGAAAAAAGAATTCTCATTAGCTGTTGGTCACAATATAAATATTTATATACTACTTTGAAGAGAAATTTGACAAACTCTATTAAAGTTGAAGTTATACCTCATCTTTCAGCAATTCCAAATCTGGTGAACTTTGGCCTTCATGCACAAGGAATCCTACAATAGGATGTTATGATACTGCAATGTAGAAACCTAACGGACCCTCAGTATGAGAATGAACTAAAAAGCTGGTTTATTCACACAATGGAATATGACATAGCAGGTAAACAAATTTGCTATTAACAGGACATGCATTCCTGGAGAACCACCATTTAACAAAATGGCTAACTAGAAATATCAAAGTGTATGGGGAAACCTATGGGGAAAATAATGTTTACAAAGCTCTATACATACATGCAACTTTGTAACCAGAGCATTTAATAATCATTCTAATTAAAATGAACTACCACAGTTAAAATATTACATTCCTTACCTTTAAAAATGAAATATTGGAGTAAATACAGTATAGTGCTATGCCTTTTGAAAAAATGATAGGGACATTGTAAGGATCTACAAAGATTGGGCTTGCCTCACATTAGATGCTTCCAAGAGCAAGTGCACAAACAGAACTAGGAAGAAGAACCCATAGCAAACAGGTATAATCTATGACACTATTACTCTGTGTCACTCTGCATTTAGCTGTGTTAGTATAATTTGTACCCAGTTGCTGTTACTTTGTGACACAAAATACTAACAAGATGGGGAAAGTCACATCTGAACGTCTTACGTACACTGATAGCATTCTGCTATTAATGAACTGAATATGACCTGAAGGCATTACAGAAACCTGCACTGTAACCAAATAGCTCAGATGAAAAAGTAACCTGAAGAACAGTTCTTGAATTTCTATTATCTCTATATCTCTGCATCTATCTCTGTATCCATCTATCTATAGGATATACGAATACATATATATTCATTATGCATATTTAGGAATAATGTATACAAATTTCAGGATCCTGCTTGCCTCTAGGAATGAAAGGACAGAGTACAAATTAAGCTGTGGCTCTCTTAGTGAGGTTATTGTTTTACTTATAAGAATATAATGTTACAATTAAAAATATTGTTTATTAAATCTAGATGGTGAATAAATGCCTCTTTTTCTATTTCTATATTTATTTGTAGATTTAAATTTTTCAAAATGTAGAAGAACATGATTAAAATAAAATACATGCAATTCAGTGAAAACATTGGTTAGTGAGATGGCTTGGTATAAAATAAATATAAAAATATTTATTAGGAAAATGTATACCTATAAGCATGGAATGATAAATTATATTACTATAAGTGAAGACTGTTATACAATGATCATTATTTGCTAGTGAGTTATATGATCATTTCCAACTCAAAATGATGTTCGACTTTACATCTTATTAAAAGGTCATTTGGAAGATTAAACCGGTAAAATGTTAAAATTTAAAATAAACATTCTGGGAATTAACAGGATAAATTAGCCCCACCAATTTCTAAAACATATTACCAAGTTGTGGTTTAATTACCACAATAATTAAAACTGTGGACATTCGTTAAAAATTCCTCTCAAATATCTCTATTATGTAGAATTATGAAACACACAAAAAGAAAAAGAACACACAAAGCAATGGGGAATAAAATATTACATAATAAATGTCTTTGGGAAAATTGAGTAGCCATCTAGAAAATAGTTTTCTGAGATCTTCCCCATCATACTATGTACCCAGATGTTCTCAACCCCTAATTAAAGACTAATTAAATCAACCCCAGAACACTTAGAAGAATTAAATGGGAATCTTTCAAGTGATTACAATTTGCAATCTGAGAACTACAGCCTTAGATGTTTGCAACCCCCTCATTTGTATCATGAATAGGTTTCAGAGGTGCTGAGATCCTGACCCTCAACACTGGCAGATGAGGAGGTAGACAGCAGGCAAGGTCCGGGAAGTCAAAAGCCCCTTAGGCAGGCCACAGGAGGAGCTAGAATAGGCACATTCAAGCACAGCAGGTGGCAGTATTAATAAAACCTTGATTGGGGTTTTAAGATTGATAAGCTCTCTGACCCAGTACATCTACTTCAGAAATTGTATTTCAAGGAAATACTGTAAAATACAGAAAAAACTTTTTATAGAAAGATACTAATTTCAACCCTATGTATACACTAATAGTAAATACTTGAAAACAACCTAAGTGAAAGACAAAGTAAATTATGACAAATTCAAAGCATAGAATTTTATGAAGCCTTTTAAATGCTTATGAGCTTTCAACAACATGTAAAATATTAGCATATTAGAAGGAATCCATAAAATTCCATATAAGGTATTATAATTATGTACATTGCAATCTATACAAACATACAGGTAGGTATATACACTCTATATGCTCTCAAAATATATAAAATATATATGCAATCTAAATAATTTTTAACATGTATATAATGAATAGAACTTACAACATAATTATTTATGGCAAAAAAAAAAAGGCAGAAAATAAGATTGAAAACCACAGTAGCTGGGAGCCTGGTCTCTCTCAGCCTTTGCACACTCCCCTAGGTCCTTCTCAACTGTTATATTTCACCAAACATGATTCCCTTCAGGAAACTTTCCTGGACTCAGACCCTCTCAGGTCGTTCAGCTCTGTGCTCTTATCATATTACACATTTTCTCCCTGCCAACTACAAAAACGCAGCTATCTTGCTCCCATCATGAAATGAACTGAGAACAATAACTAAAATATATACAATCTACACATTTCTGTGAGCACTGTAAATTCCATTTCCAGATCAAATTGGACCACCGAAAGTCTACGTACATGTACTACAACAATTTAATATCAGGCAAAATCCAATTTGCCAAGATACATTTTAATAACGTGTACTTAGCTCTCACTGAAATCTTTTGTGGATGATATTTTCACTGCATTTCTTGCAAAAGATAAAAATGTAGATATGGTATGTTGCATGTATTTAAAATGTGACATGACCAATTTCTCAGAGAGTTCAGTGTAGAGAAAGCTTCAGTTCCCTATAGGGATTGATGGGCTTCTCCTTTTGTGATAATGAGATGTGTATAATGTTCTCCTTTCAGCAACAGATGCCAAGAAGCTCAGAATTAAATTTGAACATCCATTGATAAATATACTGACTCTTATGAATGACAAAATTGATGCTTCTTTTCTTGAGCCCAAGCTTTCTACTTTAATTACACTTTATTTTATTATTTCTCTGTTGTTTATTCTATTTCATTTCCAATCGCTCCAATTTATTTTCCAAGTCATGTGTCTTAATGTATATGTATTTCACTGTGAGCTAGTTGAAACTGGTTGAGGAAACATTATGAAGAAATACACAAGTATGTTTGAGGTAAACATTTTTCTTCACAAAGTATGTAACTTTAAAAAGAGCAATAAAAGCCATTATTGAGAATGGAAAGGAAACTCACAGAGTGGGTAACTGTAGTTGCAATACATACAATACTAGACAAGTGCCTCATATCATTTAGAATATAGATGGAAAAAAGTACTACAAATAAATAAAA
Organism: Homo sapiens; assembly: GCF_000001405.40. Taxonomy (NCBI): domain Eukaryota; kingdom Metazoa; phylum Chordata; class Mammalia; order Primates; family Hominidae; genus Homo; species Homo sapiens. Next base: position 162,735,595 of record NC_000006.12, on the reverse strand, counting down.
AACCAAATCAAGCCAAGAGAAAAACAGTCAAAAGTCTTAAAAAGACACTTCAATAAAGAGTATATCCAAATGGACAGTAAATATATGAAGAAGTTGTTAACTTCATTAGTCACAATAAAATTAATATTCAAATGACAAGGATATAACATTACATACCTACTGGAATACTTAAAATGCAAAATAAAGAAAATATTAATTATTGGTGAGACTGTAGCACAAACAGCACTCTCATATAGCACTGGAAAGAGTTTAAATTTGAAAAATCAGTTGGGAAAACAGCTTTAGTTTAGTTACTAAAGCCAAACAAGCATGACTTAGGGTCCAGCAATTCCACTCCCAGAAATATGTCCTTGGTCATGCGTAGATACTTTCTCCAAAAAAAGTGTAAAAATTTTCCTAGCAGTGCTATTTGTAACAGTTCTAAATTGGAGGTCACACAAATACCCATCGAGGAAGCGATGGATAAATAAATTATGGTATATCCAAGAAAATACTAGACAGGGATAAACATGAAGGATTTACTTACAACTATAGTTGTATGCAATAATGTGGGTGAATCTCACAAACAGAATGTTGATGAAAGAAACTGGACACAAAACAATTACATACTTTATGATTCCATGTATAGAAGTACAAAAACAGGTGAAACTAGTCTGTTGGCCAAAGTCAGAAGAAGGTTAGCATGTGGGAATGTTGGGTAGTGACTACAAAGAGACAGATGGGGTTCTGTGGTGTTGACAATGTTTCTGGATTTGGGTGTTGGTTGTATCAGTGTGTTTGGTTTGATATTCACCAAGTGATTCACTTACAATATGTGAGAGAACTGTTGTAAGAAAAACCTAGAAATCTAGGTTCCAGTCCTTGCTCTATCCTTTAATAAGTATCTCTAAACAACCACAAAATAGTAAATTGTTTGAGATTTATACATTAAGTGGAAAAACACAGTCTACTCTGCCTTTTCATAAGATTGGTTGGAAAAGCCAAATGGAATGAAGATCACTAGCCCTATTATATATGAAAGAATAAATATATGACATTAAGTAATCAATTATTAATAAAGTTACTTGAAATAATAAAAACAGCACTGATATATTATTTAAATTGGATAGGAATTCCTAAATTTGATAGGAAGATGTTTGATATAATTTAATTTAAGTATATAAAGGGTAATGTAACAATTCTCTGGCCATTTAGGGAAAATAAGTCAAAATTTATACCTTCCAAAATCAAAATGACTTAAGGTGAAGCAAACTTTCAAAATAAAAAATTAAAAGTAAAACAGAATCCAGGAAAAAAAGACTGAATTTTTTCTCATCATCTTAGACAGGAAAAAGCTTTTCTAAGCCAAACCACTTTAACTTTTTTCAATGAACATGTGTAACTTTTATGATACTGCATAAAACAGCTGCAAATTATTCTCATTTCTAGATTTAATATCTATATAACATCATTGGCATTTTCTTTGGAGCCACTGATTTGAAGATGATTGTCTAATTATAGTATAAAATATAGTCTTTCATTAATTCAACTGATCAAAATAAGATAAATGGCAGCTACTATGTGCCATAAATTTTTCTTGAGGTGAGGATGCAGCAATGGGTGAAATAAACAAATTCCTGCCCTTCTGGGGCTTACTCTCTGGTAGAAGAAAAACACAGGCTCAACTAAATTAATATTAGAGGGAAAAATATAAAACAGGGAAGGGAGATGGGAGTGCTGGAGCAGGGATGGAAGGGATTGTTAAGGGTCTGAAGTTTAAAATAGAGTGGTCAGGAAGAGGCTCACTAAATAGCTAATTTTTAAACAGAAATTTGAAGCATCAAGAGATGAGGACACACAGGGTAAAATGCATTTCAGGCAGAGGAAACAGGAAGGGCAAAGGCGTGGCACTAACTGAGTTCCGGAGGCAGGGCCAGCAGAGTTGCATAAAGCAGCAAGGGTGGGCAGATCACACAGGGCCTTCCCAATAGAGGAAGCTTAGCTTTTACTCTGAGTGAGGCAGGGAGCCACCTGAGGGGTTGAGGTGACGAATGCCATGATTCGGCCTTCTCAAGTTTTAAAGGGAGCTTCTGGGCTCCACAATTAGAGAGGATGGCTTAAAAAAATTCAAAATAGAGACAAATAACAATTATAATAAGAAAGTAGGAGAATATGAGATAAGAAGAAAGGGTAGAATTGCTTTCCTTCATTCATCAAATATTTATTGAATACACTGTTAGGTTCTGGTTAAGATTAAAAAGTGACTTAGATGTGGATACTGCCCTCACGGAGAATTTACATAAGGAGATAAAACATGAGCAGAAATGACCATAATACAAAGTAGAACACAATGAATAAAGGATAACTTTCTATGTGGGTGACAGGAAGGGAGAATTAAAGAAGTCTTCTTAAAGCAGTTGGCATTTTGCTGGCCACAAAAATATAAGCTTCTTGACAGCATGTGTTCTGTCTTTTGCTGACTGCTAAATTCCTAGCATTTAAAACAGTGCTTTGCACATAGTCTGTGATCAATAGATATGTGTTACCTGATGATAGAATGAATTTGTATATGCAGATATGTAGGGAGAAGGGTGTTCGAGCAAAGGGAACAACATAAACAGAAACACAAAAATAAAGAATATGAGTTTATTTCCTTGGTTCAGATTGACTGAAGCAAATGAGAACAGTGGGAGATGAAATTTTAGAACACAGAATGGGATTAGATCACACAAGACCTTGCTGGCCCTGGGGAAGTATCTTGACTTTTTTTCTATAAGAATTGGGAAGCTCCAAAAGCTCTGAATAGTGATAGGAGCAGAACATTGTACCAGAAAGATTAGTGTAATTGTACTGATAATTGATTGAGGGAGTCAACCAATTGATAGGTGGATGATATTGTACAAGCCTAGACAAAAGGTGATGAGGGCACCCATTAGTTCATCGCCACTTGGTCCCTTCATCATTAGTACTTCTCTGCCAGAGACATCTGTTTATTTGTATTGTAATTATTTTACTTGTCTCTCTCCTTTTCTTCACTAATAATGTAGCACATTTAGCACTGGAGCTAGACACTTCTAATTATCCCCCAATATTCCTTGGCTACAGTAATAAAACATTGTGAGTTTGAGCCGGACACAGAGCTACCAGTTAAAGACTACATGTCCCAGCCTCTCTTGCAACTAGCTGTGGCCATAAGACTAGGTTTTGGCAATGGATTTGAGCAGGAGTGAGGATTGCTGTTTCTGGGACATGCCCTCATAGTGAAGCTGTTTGCTCTTCATTTCTTCCTGCCTCATTCTTGCAGATTGCTCCATACCCATTTTTCTCTCCTCCACCTGAAGTAGGTGTTGGAGATGATGCCCTTTTGGAACTACATAGCTTCCTTCATCCTTTTCCTGAGGAGACAGGTACGTGGGCTTGGGAGTTGCTTCATGGGTCAAGCTTTCATAGGCTTTTGCAAAAAGGGAAAATGTAGGTGTATTTATTACTAGGTTCTGGCCAGTTGGATGAGAATGAAAGTGGGGTGCTGTGTCTGGGTCATGCACATAATGGGAAGCTCTCTGCTTCCACTTTCCTCCTTCTTGAGGGCAGGTATTTGACCCTGGTGGTCTCGAGCCCCCCTTGTCTCAGGTGTCATTTTACAGGATGCAAAGAACAAACATGCTCCTATGCCCCTGCACCTGCCTCATGGGGAATGCTGCCCAACCTCCTGGGATTGCCTACAAAATTGAACTTCTATTATGAGAGAAACAACTTCCATCTTAATTAAGCTATTGTTATTTGGTCAGTGTTACAGAAGCCAAATTAATATTTTAATATATAATTTATAAATATTGATGATTACCACTACGTGTTAAATGAGCACATGATTGGTAAATATAAAACACACTATACATGTAAAGTATAGGTTGAACTATCCCTTATCTGAAATGCTTGGGACCAGAAGTGTTTTGGATTTGTTTTTGTTTTTTGTTCAAATTTGGAATACAGTCATCCCTCAGTCTCCATGAGGAATTGTTTCCAGGACCTCCTGCAGATACCAAAATCTTCAGATGCTCAAGTCCCTGATATAACATGGCGTAGTATTTGTATGTAACCTACACATTTCTACCTATATACTTTAAATCATGTCTATATTACTTATAATATCTAAAACAATATAAATGCTCCATAAATAGTTGCTATGCTCTATTGTTTAGGGAATAATGACTCAAAAAAAAAAGTCTGTACATGTTCAATACAGATAAAATTTTTATCCCAAACATTTCAATCCAAGGTTAGTTGAATCCATGGAGGCAGAATCTGTACAAAGAGCTGACTATATCTGTATTATATACTGATGGTCACGCCAGTTCTGAAAATCTGAAATCCAAAATGCTCAAAAGAGTTTTCTTTGAGTGTAATGTCAACACTCAAAAAGTTTTGTATTTTGGACCACTTCAGGTTTCAGACTTTTGGAATAGGAATACTCAACCTTTAATATTAAAAAAATTATTTATTCCATTCCCCTAAACTTTGAGCATAAAGCATCTATAGTCTTTTGAGAAGGAAAGCTGTAATAGAAAGCTTAGGCTGAACTCAACTTCTCTGTCACCATAACCCTGGGTCGATTTTCTAACTTGCTTCGTGATAAGCTTGTTCAGCACAGAAAGTATCTGACAAGATAAAGACAACAAAATACTGGGTTACTAGTTTCTGGTCATGGGCTCTATCACACCCCAAACAAGACTTTTAAAGGAAAATGAACTATGAAATCTTCAAGTTGTGTATCTCATATCTCTTTATAGGCAAGCACTATAAAAATGTGAATTTGAATATTATTTCATTGCAGGGCTTTTGTGATGCTTGTTTTCTTATAGAATGCAACAAAAATTTCATGGAAAGAAAGTCTAGTTTCTATTGAAGAAAAATATTTGACATTGAGATTTTAAAAATTTTGCCATTTACATTTATCATTATTTTTTCAATAATCTTGCACTCTCATATCCAGATTGTTTAAATAAGCATTTCTGCTTGCACAGCCCATTTGATGAAACATATTTATTATCAAGTTTATGTACTTGTATCACTATCGCACTCAGAGAAATATCAGGAGTCTCTGTATAACTCCTTATGATATATACAGTTCTTCATGTTTTAGGTGGAAGAGCATTGGAATGTTGACTTATCTAACTGGAAAAGTGGTTTGGAGGGTGTTGGCTCTTGGAGCATGAGGTTGCAATTAAGAAAAGCTGGAAATTGGCATACACGTCCTGAATCAAAATACACCTTCAGAAAGAGATGAGGACATTTTCACCTTATAATGCTGAGAAGTCTATACTGCTAAAGATAAAAATGGTGAAATGTAAATATTGGTTATGAAATTGAAAATTTTTATTTCCTGTACCACTGAAGTTATTTTGTATAAACGGTATTGTCCAGCCTTCTTTTATCAAGATTTGAATGTTGTTATTTTGGTTTTCCTCGGAGTACTAAGGGCAGGGACTTTGCTTTGCTGATCCCAAATCCCCAGAACTGTGCTTAGCAAACACTGGGTATTAAAAAAAAAAAAAAGAGAGACAGTTGTTGACTGAATAAATAGATGAATGGATAAATAATGTTTGCATTTAAGAATTACGATTTCCAATGGCAAGAGAGGTATTGCTAGTACAAGATTTTCCTTTAGAACATAAAAAGAGAAGATAATGGATCTCAATTAAGTTGTTTATAAAGAAGCCTGCTTCATAATCAATGTTTTTTTTAAGTCATGTAGGCATACTTATTACATTTGGCAATACAGAAACATCAGATTTTGCAGAACTATCTCTTTAGGTGTAAGATTATATTAAAGAATTAATATGATACAAGAATTATGAATACAGGTTTAGGAAAAAACAGAAAAGAACCCCAACCAGTAAAAAAAAAATTAAAGTATAACATTAAAAAACATCAAAATTGTAAATATTGTGTAGAAGAAAAACTAAATGATTAACCTGAATGGTTATGGTATTGCTGATAAATGCATCATCTTGACTCCTAGGAGAACCAATTTATGTGAAATTCCATGAAAAAGAATTAGTTACAACAAGCAGAATTTTAGTCCATTTCCAAGAATTTTAACTACTGTAAATCACCTGACACACTTCCCAATAATTAGGATATCGTTTTGCATAGCCACATGGGAACCTGGCCTAGAGGTCTATAGGTAATCTGTTTCATTCATGTATTTTAAGTATGTCGTTTAGGAATAAGTTATCAGGTTTGCAACCTATAAGCAAAGGAAATAATGTGACACTGGAAAACAACACTATTCATTTAACATAATGAATTGCCATGTAATAACTCAGATCTTCCCAGGGTGTAAATTACACAAATTTGAAAGATGCATTTATTATTTAATGCCTCATTCCCAGACAGTTGCTTACTCAGTAGCAAAATCTGTCTTAGCATACCAAGTGTAAAGCTATTTAACAAATAGGAAGGTTTAAAAAATATATACTATCATGCAGACAGCTAAAATATTTGTATATATTTTTAATCTTTTTTCTCTAATGATACTTAGAATATTTTATTTTTATTACTACAAATAATAGAGATGAAATATGAATTGTATTAGTAGCAGAGATATATGAGCTAAAGCTTGTATTGTTTAAAGCACATCATCTTAAAAGGCCTGTCAGGAAACAGTGTTCATATTAAGTTGGCTTTCAGTACTCTAAGAAGATGACATCATTTTGTAAGAGACAAGTGTTGTTAGAGCAAATGCTAGGATATTCTAAAATTTCCTAGGTTGAAGTGAAGAAATTTCTCATTATAGATTATTTCATGAGTTTATGTTCCCGGTTGTATATCAGCTCATGTTAAATTTTGCAAGAGTTTATGATTTCTAAGAACTCACCTTCTATAAGGCCCTTTGCTGAGTGGGGCTAGTTAGGAATTAGTAAGTAAAGGGGATCTTTTTTCCTCGTGTAAATAGCTTAAGAGTAATTTTGGGCGGTCCAGAAACCATAAGTTATCAGGAAGGTGCTTATAAATGGGCAGAGTACATCACTTGCCCAAGATTCTAACAACCTAGCCTGCCCCCCACACACTGTGGGGCACCGTTTGCTACTTGCCAAGTAACTGCCTTTTTTGGCAAAGACCACCCAGGACATGGCTCAGAGTCCATCCTAAGGCTGGCCAACCTCTGTAAATCTCGTGTCCCCTGATTCAGAGCGAGTGCATTTAATTCAGGAAGATCACTTACGACTGAGTTTTTCATCATGGCTTTGACTGTGAAACCCTCAGAAACCAGAGAGTGAGGCTGGTGCACCGGGAGCGGCTGTTGTGCCAGCAGCTTGGTCCTCTTCGGCATCTTGTCTGGGCATTTGTTTAAGCTCAGGGTCTCTTTTTCTGCCACCATCTTCCTAGAAAATGTCTTGTTCTCATAAAAAGTGTAGTAAAAGAATCAGTGGGCTTTACGGATGTGAGCAGGAGGTCTGGAAAAAAATATCAAAAGGCGCGATAATGGTAGAAATTCAACCCCTCGTAGTGCCCAGGTTGATCCAGATGTTTGGCAGCTCCTAGGTGAAGGGAGCTGGACCCTAGGGGCGGGGCGGGAAGAGGGCAGGACCTTGGCTAGAGCTGCAACAAGCTTCCAAAGGTAAGCCTCCCGGTTGCTAAGCGACTGGTCAACACGGCGGGCGCATAGCCCCGCCCCCCGGTGACGTAAGATTGCTGGGCCTGAAGCCGGAAAGGGCGGCGGTGGGGGGCTGGGGGCAGGAGGCGTGAGGAGAAACTACGCGTTAGAACTACGACTCCCAGCAGGCCCTGGGCCGCGCCCTCCGCGCGTGCGCATTCCTAGGGCCGGGCGCGGGGGCGGGGAGGCCTGGAGGATTTAACCCAGGAGAGCCGCTGGTGGGAGGCGCGGCTGGCGCCGCTGCGCGCATGGGCCTGTTCCTGGCCCGCAGCCGCCACCTACCCAGTGACCATGATAGGTACGTGGGTACCTGCCAGGTACAGCCTCTCTGCGCCGCCCCACGCCCCGGTATGGCGCCACGCCCCGCCTCGGCCGACCAGGACCCCCGGTGCCAACTGTCAATGACGGGGCCAAAGTGCCCGTGCCGTCCCCGGCCCGCGCCGCCGGGCTCCCCAGCTCAGCGACGCGGGTCCGGGGCCCCAGTGTGTGCGTTCGAAGCCCTCGCCTGCCCGCCCCTGCTCTGAGCGTTCTCATGAAGACCGCCTCGACGGGGACGCCAGGCGGCCCCGCACCCCCGCTCCTCGTTCGCGGTCCCCCGGACCGTGTGGGGTCCCGAAGCCTTCTCCCCGCCGCCGCCCCTCACCTTCGCCCCGCCGCCGCCCCTCACCTTCGCCCCTCACCTCACTGGCCGGTTGTGGTGCGGTTCAGGACCCATCGAGACCCACTCTCTGTGGGGCTCTTTCAGGAAACCGCAGCAAAGCATTAAACTCTAATGGAAGGCACCTGGTGAGGGTGGCTGGCTCCACAGAAACTCCTCCAGATAGATCTAAACTTGCTCCCTCGGATGTTTCCTTTTAAACTTCTCATTGGAGGGCTGAGATGAAAGAAACATTAAGAGTAAATAGTAGCCAAGATTAAATCTATTGCCTTTTGCAAAATAACCTTTCTTTTTTTTTTTTGTAAAAGAACGACCGAGGTGCAAGTTTGTGAACGAAACTTAGTGGCATCAGAGTTGTTCATGAACACTTGATGTGTAAGATGAGCAAAGGTCCTCTCTTCCAGGGTTGTTGAGCCAAAAGTTACTTTAGGGGCTATCCCTGAAAATTAATGGAAATGCACCATATGTTTGAAAAACAGTGCTAGATGGGGTTTCATTATTGTGGAGGTTTCTCCAGGTTATGTATGGAGGGTTTAGTGAGCTTGTTTATTCCTGAGGAGGGTCCTTTACAAAACACTTTTGATTGCAGTAAGTACGTTCGAAGTCAGATGTGGTCTGTCCAGAAGAAAGATGAGAGGTGGATTTATAAAGTATATGATCTTTATGCACTGAAAACACTTCTTACATCTGTTTATTTGTGAAGTTATTGTTAAAATGTAAACATTCTCCCCATCAGTGGGAGAATCAAGCCAGCTAACTGGCATGGTCTTTGTGGTAAAACAAGAATGTTGTCCAACTTTTCTTCCCTTTCTAGCATGGTCTGACTTTTGGTGAATGACTTGAAAGTTAATCAAATTACGAAAAAAATATTTTTTATGAGTCTTCTTGAGCTCTTTTTAGGTGACATTTACGTAAGATTCACTTGCAAGCACAAGTTTGAACTGAATCAGAAAACCAAGTAGAAGAGATTTTCCAATATCTGTGCTGTCAGTCTACAGGAAGAAAATAGCCTATACCTTATTTTGAAGACAGTTAAATACATTTTATTTTAATTTAACTTAATCTAGTGCACAGATAATTTTAAGAGAAACAAATTTATTGTAAAGCTATATAAAGACAAGCACTTAAGATCTAAAGAACATTACTCAGTTATAAGTTATGACCTAATAAGTGATTATATAAATAACTTTATTAGGATGAAATGTGTTTGGACAGTTCTGTTTAGTTTTATCTGGAATTCTTCCAATAAGGAAGAAATATCTTTGGAGTTGATGATTAAACAGTTATCAATTACTGGTAATGACATGGAGAATATAAGGTTGGTTTTTAAAAGTGTTATTTCTCTCACTCCAGCCATGGTTTTACATAGTGCAAATAAGTGTGCAGTACAACATAAATGATTAAATCCATGCCTGCTTTCCCTAGGAAATGTGCCTTACATATAAGATCATGGACAATGTGCAATAAAATATTCAACTAGTTGCATTGCCTAATTCTGAAATTAGACACACGTCTTTTTTTTTTTTTTTTCCTCTTTTTGAGACAGGTTCTGTCTCTGTCACCCAGGCCGGAGTGCAGTGGCACCATCACAGCTCACTGCAGCCTCCAACTCCTGGGCTCAAGTGATCCTCCCATCTCAGCCTCCTGAGTAGCTGTGACTACAGGTGTGTGCCACCATGCCTGCCAATTTTTTGTTATAGTTTTTGTAGAGATGGAGTTTCATAATGTTGCCCAGGCTGGTCTCAAACTCCTGGGCTCAAGCAATCCTCCCGCATTCGCCTCTGAAAGTGCTGGGATTACAGGCATGAACCACCACGCCCAGCCTCATTAGCCACATTTCAGTAAACATCTGAATGGTCAGTTTGGGATTTGGGTGTCGTGAACAGTGCTAAAGGTAGGTGAAAGTGAAAACCATTAAAAGGAAGCCTTGGAGTGATGGGTTTTGTGTTTTTGTGACAAAAATTCAGAGCCAGGAAAGACATTATAGACTTTATCCAGTGATCACTAAAATGTAAATAGTATGTATCTGGGATTTTCTGTTAAAGGTAAGAGTGCTTCTCAAAGCTTGCTCCTTTCAGGCCTATGCTTTCTCTAACTATTACACTCACCTTGTTGCGGGATTCGGGAGTATGAGGGAGACCTCAGGTTGAAGCAGGAGAATCTTTATTGAGTGTACTCAGGCCCAGCTGACTCACATCCAAAAGACTGGGCCCAGAATAAAGACAGTACTTGACTTTTATACACACTTCACAAACGGAGGTGGGCTAGCTTGAAGCAAGCTTACAGTGGCGTGAAAGCAGGGATACAGAGGCAGGACAAAGACAGGATTGCAGATGACCATTGCCAAGCAACCCAGATGTTCGTTTTCTAGGTTTGCCTGGGCACAGGCTTATCCTATAACCTTCTCTGTGGTGCCCAGGCAGCTGTAGTTCAGGCCTACTCAGGCTTTTTATGACCTTCGTTGTACTACTTAGATAAAACAGAATACTTGAAATCACTAGTTACAGAGAACAAGAGTCTATAAACTCATTCTGTAAAACAAAGGAAAATTTGTTTTTCTTCTCCCTGTGTTGAGGGAGTGCTGAGAGAGTCTCCAGAGCATATTAGATAATATTATCAAGACTTTTCCTGGGTCTAGGCTGTGCCTGTTGCTGCTTCTGGAACAAGTTAGCCTAAAACAGGAAAACTTATTTCTCTTTCTTTTTAATTTTATTGTTCTTTAATTTCCCGCCTCAACCTTACTGCGAATAATATTCTGCCACTTTATTTAAATCCTGGCTTAGTTTAAGGAGAAACGTAAAGATGGGTTTCCTGGTAGAATAGGAGTAAACAGGACTGACTGTGACCTCACTGCTAATGACATGTACCTTCCTTTTACTTTCTCAAAACCGAAGATTCCCTTATTGGCATGAGGACTGTTTCAAAAGTACTTACATTTCCCACCTGCATTGTGATTGATGTGTTGAATGCCCTGACCCAGGCAGCTACAGAAACATAATTTAATTGAAGTCGGTTAAAAATTGTGCCTTTGTGGAAAGTGTGGAGAAGGACTTCAAGATGATATAAAGCAGAATAGAAAAGCTTAAAAGAATTCAATTTAGAAAAATGTAATTTTTGGTACCTCTATTAAAAATATATTTTGACTTTTTTAAAAATGAGCAATTCTTTGTGTTTAAAATGGAATGTTAGTGGGGATATTTGTGGTATGTTCTAAATGTTCTGTAGAACTGGATTTAGGTATTTGAGTAACAGCAGATATTAGAGTGCATGGTTATATATACAACAATGTTGTCAGTATTGAAATACACATTCAGTGTCTTAGACTTTTAAGAAGATTTTTGATTGACAAAAACCATTCATTGGAACATAGTCTCTTCTATACCTTGTTTCACTTAGCATCTCTTTGAGAATTTACATATCTGCATGTCCAGATCCACTCCACAGCGATTCCTGCCTAGTCTTTTATAGGATACACTAATTATGAAAATATTTACCAATAAATAAGCACTCATTAGGTTTACAGACAACTGTTGTCAGAAGTGTTTGTGGCCATATCTTTTTACTTGCACATGTAAGCATAGATGTAAAATAAAAATCGTATGACAATTTGAGTTAAAGAGTTTGTAGATTTTACATTTTCCTAGGTATTTCAAAATTTTTCCAAAATAAGTTGCCCAATTTTACAAGCCTATCTAAAGCCTCCACTAATACAACATGGTAGTAAAGAGCTGCCCTGCCCCTCTGGGCTGAAAATTGCCAAAAGACGTCCTTCCTGAGACTGACTCAGCTTTCACTAGCAGAACGCCTCCTGGATCTCCGGTCCCCCACCTCTCTCTCACCCTAGGGGTAGTGCCTTTCAGTGTACAAGCTGCACAACTGTCCTTGGTGGCCCTGCCCTCCCTTTCAGTGTGTATAAGAGTGCCCATTTCCTCCCATGTGCCATCGAAGATTTTTTATTTTTGCCGTCTTGACAGATGAAAAACAGTATCTTTTAACTTTTCAAATTAATTTAGAAGAAAACTTCTCATTCTCATCTTATAGTGCGTTAGTTTTGCAAAAGCAGATCCAGTGATTCCAGCACCTGCTATGTACCCTTAACTGCTCTAGGTGCCAGGGAAACGAGGGAACACAACAGAAAAAGTCCCTTGCCATCAGGAATGTATATTCCGACTTCACCATTTGGCTACACATCTGCATATTTGTTTTCAAGCTTGTGTGCAGTGAATTTTAAAGTCTCAATTTATATTTCTAGTTGAATATACTGTGTACTGCTCTTTGCCCTGCCATTTTGATAAGTTGATGAAAACCAGCTCTATGCCTAAGTACCCCAAAGCTTCTGTTTATAATGAGGTAAAATTGTGTCAAAAATAGGCTCTACTAAAGTTTTGCATAGAAGATTTTATGTAATTATATAATAGTTCTTCCTTGGGTCCAAAGGCTCTAAAATGACCCTTTGCCCTTTACAATTTTGGCCCTATTTCTGAGGATGTTTTTGAAGTCTGCATTTTTTGAAACCTCATAGTTTCATTGCCTGAAAATGATACAATGAAAGTACTTTGTATTAAGATATGTAAATCCATTCCTACCTCCAAAGTTTCTTTGAAAAATGCAAAAAAAAGAGTTCTTACTTCGAAATGCTTCATATTCATGAAAGCAGTTTTAATGCAAAATACTTTATTCTGTTAGCTATTAGTTCTTTGATCAATGAAAATTGTTTCTTACCTGCTGTTTCTGCAGCCTTTAATTGTAGCCCAGTGCTTATTCAATGTTTCTGTTTTAATTTGCATTTAATGAGCTCATTTTAAATGTTTCTTCGTAGTAATCTGAATGGTTTCTCTCCCTCAATTTTGTAATATTAAAGAGACTCATGTGACAGTCGGCTGATTTATGTTGCAGCTCACCTCCCTGGCTTATTTACTTCATCCTGTAGCATAGAATCTTGGTTAAAAGGAATTACAGTAATAGGATTCTTTTCCCCCAGTAATTTCCTAATTACCTAGGACTCTTAACAGATTAACTCAAATGTCTGTTTTTCACCAAATAGAAACCTTTTTTCCTTGAATGAATAGGTATTTATGATTATTATTTCAGTGTCATTTCTTTATACCATATGTATTAGATGGTGCTGGGTAGGGATGGGTACACATAGGTTGTATTTGTCTATATATTGCCTGTGGGGAAGGTACATAGAAATGACCATTTCTTCCCAATAAGTTTGTGGCCTAGTTGGGCTGATTAGGCTTATATTGGTGGTATAGATTGCACCTTCACCACCACAGAAGAAGAGTAATTAGAAAGATGTATGTACATATCAGCACACACATACATGCCTGCAACACGTGATTTTTCATGTTTCTTTTGTTCATTTGATTCTCGTTGATCTGAATGCCCTTTCTTTCTGTTGAACATCTCAAAACTACTGTTCATCACTCAAGATCCAGTTCCAATGGCACCAACTTTATGTGAAATTTTCCATGTCACCTCTTACCCTCTTTTTAGTGTGAGGCAATTAGCACCTCCTTTAGAGTCAGCCAACATTTTAGTAACTACCCTTCATCAGGTCCTTGTTCATAGTCTAGAAGGGGTACAGAAAAGTAAAGATTTACAAACCTGAAAGGTGGGTATCATAATATAGGTTTATACAAGGAAGTACTGGAAAACTCAGCCTATAGAGCTTGGAAGATCCAGCTGTTTCCCAGTGGAGCCATTCCAGTTTTCCTGCAGGACAAGTAGGAGTTAACTAGGTGAAGGCGGCCTTCTAGACAGGCATGGAGGGGAGAGAAGAGAATAGAATGAAAGGTATCTGGTGAGGCTGCAGGCACACCAGATAAGCTTTGTCAAGGAGGTAGGTTTAAAGTTGGCGATAGGGAGGAGTCACTGAACCATTATCTACAAAAGAGCATTATGAACAGGTTGTATTTTAGAAAGATGTCTGTGGCAGTACTAGAAAGTTATGAAATAGAACGTTGTAGAAAATAGTTACACTAGTGCCAGCAAGTCCAGATAAAGTGTTAATAGAGGACTTCTCATGACCTTCATTGTACTTCTTAGATAAAACAGAATACTTGAAATCACTAGTTACGGAGAACAAGCGTTTATAAACTCACTCCATAAAACAAAGGAAAGAAGTCCAGATAATGTTTAATAGAGGACAGTCTTCGACTGAGAATGGCAGGGTAATTGTGCAGTAGGAGATGGCTTTTCTCAGGGTGTTGACATTGATTTGATATGTCATTACATCATCTCTGATTAAAGGCCATATTTCTTTTTAAAAAGTTCTTATTTTTGTAGAATAGATTAATGTCTCTTATTGACAGGTGTTTTATTTCATGTTACTAAAGCTTTATTTGTATTCCAAAAATAGTTTGTATCTCCTTCTTTGATATGTGGAACATGATGCTTAGGGTTCTATTTATAGTTTCTTCTCTGTGTGGAGAGAACAATGTCATCAGAGCTGTGGATATCGTGTCACCCAGAATAGTGCAGAATAGTTTCTTCCTCTTAGATATCTGCATGACTCATATACCTAGGCACATATTAAGACCATCTATGGGCCGGGCGCGGTGGCTCACGCCTGTAATCCCAGCACCTTGGGAGGCCGAGGCGGGTGGATCATGAGGTCAGGAGATCGAGACCATCCTGGCTAACAAGGTGAAACCCCGTCTCTACTAAAAATACAAAAAATTAGCCGGGCGCGGTGGCGGGCGCCTGTAGTCCCAGCTACTCGGGAGGCTGAGGCAGGAGAATGGCGTGAACCCGGGAAGCGGAGCTTGCAGTGAGCCGAGATTGCGCCACTGCAGTCCGCAGTCCGGCCTGGGCGACAGAGCGAGACTCCGTCTCAAAAAAAAAAAAAAAAAAAAAAAGACCATCTATGGACAGATGTGTGTATTTTTAAGAGTATTGATGGCTTCTTGATGATTCTCTCCAATTTACTTTTACTGTAAGACCTGAACAGAGGCCCCCATAAAGTTTCACATGAGAGCCCTTAACTTTGGAGGAGAGAATGTTCAATAGTTAGCAGCCTCACCCATTTTGCACATCTCTACTCCTACCCTCATCAAATGAGGGGGAAAATTGGTGATTAGGGAGTTAATATTGGTGTCCTGATTGAGACTTTTTATTATTTATTTACATAATTGTTGAATACGCCAGTTACTCCTATTGTGAGATATTTTTGGAGTTTCAGTGCATAAATAAGATCTTGTGATGAAGCCCTCTGTAACTGCGTAGTCATTTTTAAAGCTTATTGTACCCGCAGAGTAGATCCATTTTCCAGATCATGAAATGATAGGAAGTAGACACCTGAAACTTGCTCGTATTAATAAAATGGAGAAATAGGAAGGAACATTTGTAATATCTGTGTTTCTGAGGTCAACCTTTAGTTTTTTTTTTTTTTTTTTTTTTTTTGACATCTACCTGCACTCCCTCTTTTCTGTCCCCTCATTTTTTTCTTACCCACATTCCTTGATTTTCTCAGAAGCTGGAATTTAATATTTCATTCTTCAGCTCAAAGGAGCAGCTGTTGTCTGAACAACAGGTGAATTTCTTCCTTACTTGTTGCCACAGGGCTTGACTGTGGGTTGTAATGTTTCTGAGGGTTATCACAGGAGTGGCCTGACCGGAACAGACCAGGCTTCACCACAGCTCCTACTGGAGACATTCCCTAGATTGGGAATTGTCTGCAATGGAAATCTTTGTAGTCTCTGGCTCTGCATTTTCCTTCCAGGCAAATCCAGTCCTGATTACAATTTTTTTTTTCCATTGAAACAAAATTGAGGAATGATGAACTCTGGGCAGCTAGAGGATGGGGGCAAGTTAGGTTTGCTCCTTGGAGAATTAGACAGATTTAAGAATAATATTCCCTGTGCCCTGGGTCTTCTCTCCACCCTTGAAATTCGACCTCCTTTCTCCTGAAAGTCCTTTATAGCTCTCTGGTGAGTTCCCAGAGTGTGAGAGGTACAGATTTAAGCACAAGTGAGGTCATGTTCTCTGAGGTGCTGCTTCTCTGGGCTCCTGACCACAGACAAATGTAGACTGCATGATCCAGTTGATATTCACCAAATTTGTATAATTACATGTGACAATATATAAAGACGTTTTTACATGAATATGTCTGAATTCATAGGATCAGATGGGAAGTATATGTGTTTTATTGGGCAGTCAATTTAGACATAATCATATGATACAGAGAGTGATATTTCGTAGAGATCTGTTGTGGGCTTTCCACTCTTGTTCATTTAGGAATCTGTGAGATGCTCAACCTATGATTGGAATTGGAATTTCTTCCTTTTGTCCCTCTCTAGAGTTTTCTCCATTATTCATTGTCCCTTTCTCGTGTGTGTGTGTGTGTATGTGTGTGTGGCATCTGCCGTGTCTCACTACATGCAGAGCTTCTGACATAGGTATTGACTTTTATATCATCTTGATTTCAAAGAAGTCACCAAATAATCTTATTCTCAGTGTCTTGAGTTTTATACCAAGTCTCTGTGCTTGTTTTTTATGTTCTGGCAATTTCTGGGCATTGTTGCCCATTTTAGAACTCTATTTTGTTTTGTGGGGGACAGTTCTGGAATAAATTTTTTTTTTTTTGAGACGGAGTCTTGCTGTGTTGCCCAGGCTGGAGTGCAGTGGCGTGATCGCGGCTCACTGTAAGCTCCGCCTCCCAGGTTCACGCCATTCTCCTGCCTCAGCCTCCCGAGTAGCTGGGACTACAGGCGCCTGCCACCATGCCCAGCTAATTTTTTTTGTATTTTTAGTATAGACGGGGTATCACCGTGTTAGTCAGGATGGTCTCGATCTCCTGACCTCGTGATCCACCTGTCTCGGCCTCCCAAAGTGCTGAGATTACAGGCATGAGCCACCGCGCCTGGCCTCTGGAATAATTTTTAATGGAGATTCAACATCTAAGAAACTTTCATATTGGATCAAGACATAGTTGTCACAATTCTTAGTGTGTAAATTCATTAAAAGTCCCTTCTGGCTTTTGCAGCCAATTTAATCATCTTATGCTTAATAGAATGCAAGTTATACAGGTAAAGTCAGTCAGAGAGGGGATGGGGATGCTATTTGAGATGAAGTTCCTAGAAGTAATAAGATTTTTTTTGTCTTAAAACAGTGATGATAGGATGATTAAGTGATCTAAGATGGACAAATATGTGTGAGTTCTTAATAATTGGGAAAGATCTTTTTTAAAAAGTGTTAATGTGACCATTTAGTTACCATAACTGGAAACTAGATAGCATTAGGGGCCATTTGTATATGTAAAAATATCAGGAAGTATACCGGCAAATTATATCTTTGGGTTGTGGGATGTTTTCTTTTATTATGATTGTGTTTTTCAGATCTTCAGCGTTAAGCGTATAATGTTTTGGAAATACTGAAAAGCAATGTGTTATAAACACAATCTTCAGGACAAATGCATTGTGGTAATACATTTAAAACGGATTCTACTTTTGTGTCAAATTATGTCAGATAAATTTTCAATGGTAGCATACTATGCTCATGTTCTGGTCATAAAAGTAGTGTTTTCAGGAAAACAAACATTAGAACCATAATTTCACTTTCTTTAATATTATACACTATCGGGGCATGGCCAGATTACTGTATTAGTTTTTGTGTAGTTCCTGTTGTTGCTGTAACGAATTACCACAAGTTTAGTGACTTTTAAACACAAATTTATTTTCTTACAGTTCTGGAGGCCCAAAGTCCAAAATGACTTTTTTTTTTTTTTTTTTTTGAGACAAGATCTCCCTCTGTCACTCAGACTGGAGTGCAGTGGCACAAACACAGCTCACTGCAACCTTGAATTCCTGGGCTCAACTTCCCGAATAGCTGGGACTATAGGTGCATGCCAACCTGCCTGGCTAATTTTTTTATTTTTTATTTTTTGTAGAGACAGGATCTTGCTATGTTGCCCAGACTAGTCTTGAACTCTTGGGCTCAAGTCATCTTCCCACCTCAGTCTCCCAAAGTTGTCAGATTACAGGTGTGAGCCACTGTGCCCAGCCCCAAAGTGACTAAAAGGGACTAAAATCAAGGTGTTCGCTGGGCTAGCCCCTTCCATTAATAGAAGCTCCTGTGGAGACTCCTCTTTCACTTCTGGAGGCTGCTGGCATTCCTTGGCTCCTGGCCACATCACTCCAGTCTCTGCTGCTGTGGTCACATTGCCTTCTCCTTTACTGCCATCAAATCTTGCTCTGCCTTCCTCTTAAAAGAACACATGGGGTTACATTCAGGAGCCACCAGGATAGCCTCTTCGTCTCCAGATCCTTAATCACATCTGCAAAGTCCCTTTTGTCATATCGGGAAACAGTCGTAGGTTTCAGGGACAAGGAGGCATTATTCAGCCACCACAGTTACCAGTAATGCTTCACCATTTGAACGTATGGTTAGGTACTTCCTTATGAAGGAAGAATGACAGAGAGCTACAACTTGATTTTTGCCTATTGTGAGGTCACTTAAAGGTAATGCAGTAGTGTTACACATGAGGAGTCTGTGTGTGTGTGTGTGTGTGTGCGCGTGTGTGTGTGCGTGCGCGCGCGCGCAGGCGGGTAGGGTGTATGGACTAGTTGATGAAGCTAGCCAAGGACATAACTCACTTTTCAAGGTAGTTTTCTCAGGTGGCAAAAGAAGGTGTGAATATTCTCCTGGACTCCCATAGTGCATTGCAGCTGGGTAATTTGATATGTACCAGGTTGCTAATTTGTATCCTGTAGAGAAGGGGAAGTTTTGTTATGCTTTGGACAGGAGATACCACTTCACATAACAGATGATCAGGCAAAGTGGAAGCAAATAACCATTATGTGTATATTGCTTTCTGATTTGACAGTTCCCTATGAGCGTTAGACACTTCATGCTCCCTGGAATAGTTTAACATTGTCCTGTCCTTTGTAAATAATAACTAATATGGGTTGGTTGAAAATTATACAGTTAGAATTTTAAATTATTAAGTTGAGAAGGACGAAAGAGCGAAATCTTGTAATTTCTCACAGATGTCAGCATAGAATTTGGTTTCTTGAGGCAGTTTTAACAGAAACATTTGGAAAATATTCCCTTATACATTGTTAGTACAGTTAGGAGAAACTCTAATATGGAATAAATTTTTTAAATAGATGAATGCAGAATTTGGTTTTTAAAGAAGAAAACATTTATTTTTTGCTGAAAAAAGAAAATGTTAAATTCGGCAAATATTTATTGACACCTTAAATTATAGGATTTATGATAGGCACTAGGCGTGCGTATCTAAATGAGGAAGTCACAGTTAGTGAAGATGCTGTGTACACATGGAAAGTAACCATTGACAATAATAGATGTTATCATGGAGGTACGCTTCATTGTGTGATAAAGCAGGGGAACCTTCAGCAGAGGTGGAATTTATTTGAGCTGGATCTTAACAACAGACTGGACTCCTGAGCAGGCCAAGAAAGAAAGCGCGTTTGAAACAGAGAGGCTGGCCCCAGCAAGATGGCAGGCTTGTTAGCAGAGGCTGTGTTGGGAAGGATGAGTAGTTGACGGGATGGAGTACAGGGAGCATGGAGTGGGAGGTGATGATAGATTAGGGTGTCAGGACCAGCTCAGTGCAGTTTTCCATGCCATACTGGAGAATTCAGGTTTTGCTCTGAGTAATGAGGAACCGCTCAATCTTAATGCTAGGAACTCTAAGGCAGTAGGAAGTGGCTGTGTCTTGTCGCTGAAAGTGAGATGTGAATTCAAATTTGAAATATAAAATAAAATTGCCAGTAGCCAAATTAAGCACTTGGAGCTATTACACAGCTTCCCACTTAGGATCTTTAAACTATTAGGGCAATTAGCTGTACTTTAATATAATCAGAAGAAACAAACCCTTCAAAAGGTTTGTGTACTTCAGACTGTCTTGACAGAGTTATTTTCCTCTAAACTTTAAAAACCGAATTTCATTCCATCTTTATAGTGTATCTTTACTTACCTGCCTTATTCTTGAGGGAATAAGCGTGCTCATACTTAATAAATAATTGTTGCCTAAATGAAAGTGTGATTCAAAGGAGAGAAGACCTTTGTCCTTGCCTCCGGTTTGTCTTCTTCCATGTCCCTTGAGGAATCCAGTCTCTTTTGATATTAACCTTTGGGGTGGGGCCCCACTTCATTTATCTTTGGGGCTCCTAGCCTAGCAGAATCCCATCAGGTGTTGAGATGGGAGAAAAAAATTAACAAATAGGGGAAGTAACTATATGCCTTGACTTTGGTGAAAATTAAGTATCTGAGGAGATGGTTCATTAATTTTAAGAGAGAGAGCTTTGTCTGTCATCTTTTCCATGCAAATACCTAGCACAAGGACGATGACTTTTTCCTTTCTTCTTTTTTTCCCTTGTCCTTTACTGTTGTTTCTTCTTACTGCTTCCTTAATGCTTGCCCTTAGAGGGAAGTGCTTAAATTATTTGAATTTTGGAAGAAGTAGAGATTTTTAAAAGTGGTTACTCTATGCAGCAGGTTTAGGGTGTAAATTACGTAGATGCTTTGTCTCTTTTCCACCTTTAGCTTTTAACTTTACAACAAATGCACTTTTGCTTCATTGGGGTCTGTATTTACTTGTTTCCCTAATGCAGCTTTTCTCCATGAAATGCTCTCAGTAGAAACATATGCTCAAAGCTTCAGAGTAATTACAATATCACTAAAAGGTTCGTAATCACATTACTGAAACTAAATGTTAAAACATTTGATTTTTCTTGATCCAATCATTTCAATTTAATTCTAGGCTACTCCGTGATTGATGGAGGAAACATGGCAGGCCAAAGTCAGGGGGTATTTATAATGCCAAAAGCCTTGGAGGGAAAACCTCAAGGCAATTTAATTTGGGTGGGAGCTCATTTAAATTATTCCGAAGGGTTTTTTAAAAAATGGGAAGAGCAGGTTTGTTTCAGTGCCTGCTCTCAGGGCCCCTCCCTCCCTGTCACCAGTGTCCCTGCATCTCCTCAGCCCCTGGTTAGACAAAGGCCCCGTGACGCAAAGCAAAGAAGGAAGTCTGATTTTTTTCACAATTGTTCTAAAGATGTTCTTTTGTGTTAAAGACTGGCTTAAACTTGAACGTTTTTCTTGTAAATCAGGGGTAGTTTTGAGATATTTGCGTCTGTTTACGGTAAGCAAGCACACCTCCAGCAGGGCCACCACATAATTAAGTCACGGGACATGCCGACAGCCTCACTTACCCATGAGGATGCAGAGTGGTGTGAATAAAAAATCTACCTTTACCTCATTGCTCACAGCAGGGCGGAGAAATGATCAAACGTCACATTCCTGATGGTGGCTGTTCTGAAAAACCATTTATTTTATTTTTATTGAATTACGGAGACAAGTGAATGTGAAATTTCTGAAGCAATGTGAATTTTCTTAATTTTTAGCACAGTTTGTTTTAATCATATACATTACAGAGCAGTCATTTTAGAATATTTACTGATTTGCCTTTGATATCTGCTCAGCTAGAGGTCTGGATATAATGCTGAGTTATTTTAATAATTAGCTTCTATAATTCTGCTTCTGAATGGTTATTTCATCCTGTCTTTTAAGTTCTTTTTTTTTGCTTTTACAAAACAGTATAAGTATAGCTAACAGACAAATATTTTGCCAATAATCATACATAAAGCACTTGGTGACATTTGAGTCTTTTTATTAAATTTCTGAAGGTGAATTTTGAACCCTAATTGTAGGATTTTTGATAATGGGATATAACACTATGATATTTCTTAACACTTTTTATTCCCTGAATCTGGCATACTTTTTCTGCCTTCCCTCCCTTGTAGCAAAAGAGACCTAATTTTTTTTTTTTTTTTTTTTTTGAGGTGGAGTCTCACTCTGTTGCCCAGGCTGGAGTGCGGTGGCGCGATCTTGGCTCATTGCAAGCTCCACCTCCTGGGTTCACGCCATTCTCCTGCCTCAGCCTCCCGAGTAGCTGGGACTACAGGCGCCCGCCAGCACGCGTGGCTAATTTTTTGTATTTTTAATAGAGACGGGGTTTCACTGTGTTAGCCAGGATGGTCTTGATCTTCTGACCTCGTGATCCGCCCGCCTCGGTCTCCCAAAGTGCTGGGATTACAGGCGTGAGCCTGGCCAAAGAGACCTAATTTTATAAATACCAGTTTCTTGCCATTCTTCCACCTCCTTGAAGGTAGGTTTTTTGTTTATTTGACTGATTGATTCTACTTTTTGAAATCAAGTTTGGAATTTAAAAAGTATATTGCCCATGTCTAGTAGCACTTCTTATTCACTTTCTTTCACATCTCAAATCACCCTTCCGTTCAAACTATAATATTACAGCATCTCATATACTTAGTATTTCTCCTCCACACTCTAGTGTGGTGAAGTGGTGGTAATAGTGCCCCTTCAGAGGGGTTTTACTCTGGAGGAACCGGAACTGAAGTGAGTAACCCTAGTTTTATGTGGAGGTTTCATAAGTTTGTTAGGCCTGGAAAATGGGGAAGTGACCCTGGTTTTTACATTCATATGTTAATAGTTTTCTCTTGCTTCCATGAAATAATCTCAGAAGACAGGTTCAACTTTAGGACAGCTATGTAACTTCATGTTTGGACATTAAGTATGGGGATGATTGTCTTAACTAGGTTTCTATCATATGCCCTATGTGGTGCAAGCCAGAGATAAACATGTTGGATCTGGGCTTTGCTTTTTACCCTACTTACAAACTAATGAGTTAGCCTGTTTATATCATGGAGACTGGCAAAAGATATGAGACATGGGTCAGAGATTAAGGGGCTTTATTACTCATAGTATGGCAAGTTGTATAAGCGTCATGATATTTACTCTAGTTCCTTTGCCCCTGAATCTCACGGGGTGATGTGATACAGCCCAGATGGATGCTGTGCATGCAGTAGGTTTGCATTGCAGATGATGACTGCTGAGCTTAGGGAATCTTCCATTTTTATAGCAAGCAGTACCTATGCTCTTTGTCTGGGGTTAGACATTACTTCATTATTTAAGGTTATCAGATGTATAAACAGTCCTGAGAAGTGGCCCAGGTAAAAGAGCAGTCAGGACAATGCAGTCTTGAGAAATGGCCCAGGTAAAAGAGCAGTCAGGACAATGCAGTCTTGGTATCCCAACAAGACATGCAGGGAGTATAAGAAGACCAAGGAAAACTGTCTCTATCCATCCCCATCTTGGCTTTTGGTAAATTTTTACATGAATAGGCCACCTGTAGTCACTCTGATTAATCGGACCAACAGAGGTTGGAACCAAACTAGTCAACTTGTCTCATACCAGCATTTAATTAGGGCAACAATCAATAAAATCCTAAGCAGCAGGATGAAGCCAACCTGCAGTATTGACTTCATCCAGTCTCTCTGCCTTCCCCGACCAGAATCTCTGATTCAGCCTACTATGAATAAATCCCAGAGGGAGACCAGTAGGTCTTAATTCAGACGGTGCAAGACAAGTCTGCTACCTAATATGATCTGCGCAAGAAAGTTTGCAATGACTTGCCCCTCTTGGGTCTCATTGTCAATGATAATAGCTGTTTCAGAAAGCAACCCTCATGCCTAATGGAGAGACATTCTGTGGCCTACTTTCCCCCATATAGAGAGCACAGGCCACTCTAGTTTGGAATTTGTTGCTACACTTGATTGGAATCAGCATTACACTGGTTTGATTAAGCCACATAGTGTCACTGAGTTGCTGCAATCTAGATTGCTAAACATGGCATTAGCTACGGCTGCTTGGGAGGCAGGAGAAGCCTATGAATTTGTATGTCAGGTTGGAACAGTGTTGAAGCAATCTGTGTTTGCACAGGTCTGAGGGGAAGGGCCACGTTTGGGAGATGCTGTTGGTGGCATCGGCACAGCGGAATAGTTCAGGGCCAGCCATGTCCACATGACTTTTCCTGGTTTTTTTTTTTTTTTAAATAGCAGTTTTGACCAACAGCTTGATTCCAGTTGGTCTCATCAGAGAATAAGCACTTACTGCAGGCATCTGTATCAGTGACACTCAGACCAATCAGCAGCCAAGATTTGTTTTCAAAATGTGTAGTCCTACAGAGGGGCTCTTTAATCTGCCAGTCTGTAGTCTTCCAAATGGCAAAGCAGACAAGTCATTTACAGCAGTCCAAGAGTCTGTAAAATATGAAATGCCTGGTCTTTAGGAGCATTGTCTGACAAGGGTCAGAGCTCTCATACAGAGAAATGTGCTGACTGGTCCTTTTGGCTGCTGCTGGTCAGAGACCACCATCGGCTTTTAGCTTCATCAAACTGTCAGTGAACCAGGCCATCCGTGATGGGAACCTCTGAGAGCCTTCTTGAACCAGCAGCTCTGTTTCCAGTAGTGGAGTGGGGGATATGGTTCCTCCAAAGAAGTAGCTGCCATTATTTTCATTTAATACTGGGTGATGCTAGGGCTGGATGCACTGTGCCCTTGAATATACCATTTCCATTTGACCAGGAAGGCCTCTTAGGCCCTTCCCACCTCTTTAGGGAGATTCACCTGAAAATGGGATTTCAGCTGTTCATTTTTCTCCACAAGAGCTTAGTTGCAGGATAACAGCTGCTTTTTTGTTTTTTTTTAAAGTACTTTGTAGCTCCATCAAACAGGTGATGCTATTATAGTGGGCAGGGGCCTCTGCAGCAGTTCTGGAACATGAAAAGCCCTTCTGACACTTCAGGGATTAGGCCGTGCAAATGTGTAATACATCAGTTCTTATTATAGAATTGAATATGGGAGCTGCTACCACAACACCACATTGAATAAGCCCAGAGGGCACCTTTACAAGGCTAGTTCACCTCCCCTTTCCCACTGGGAAGCACTAAACCCCATTAGTAGAGTTCAGTGTGCCTTTCTTCCATGGGCCAGGAAGAATGGGAACTTGGACTCATAACAGTTGAGTTCCTTTCTTCCTCATCATACCAAACAGTTGTGTGTGTGTGTGTGTGTGTGTGTGTGTGTGTGTGTGTGTTTGTAGGGGGTGCCAGGGGCTTTCTGTCCCCTGGGGATAGGGAGATCTTAAACCCAGCCCAGTCATCCTTCTCCTTAAAGCAGCTGAGTTCAGAATAGAGGGAAGGGAGGGATCAGGTAGTATGAGAGGGACAGCAGCTCCGTGTTAATCAACAAGGCACATTTACTGTGGCTTTCAAGCAGCAGCCTATGTGAGGCTTAACCAGACTTCTAAAGTTGATGGTCCGCACAAAGACCTATATCAGGTAAAAAGGTCATTATTATTGAGACACTGTGTCAGCTTTGAGGACCCCTGGCTCAGCAGCCACACCCACATTGTCTTTCTTGCTGCCCCCTTGTCATGATAACACCCCAACCCGTGGAGGAGAATGAGTGAGCAATATCCACGGTTCCGTTTACATACTCATTTCAATCTTGCCTCTCTTAGCCTCATTAGCACACAGGACAGTAGGGACCCTTATTCCCACCCACCACACCCCACTGTCCACCTCCTAGGCAAGAGCATTCGCTCTCAGATTCCAGGGAGATTTTTTTATATTCCTGGACCCAATCTCTGGACACTTTTCCTTCCTTCTCCAGATAGCTATGTTCCTTCACCAAAACTGTCAGGTCTGAGATATCATCTTACCCTATTTGGAAGCTAATGGTATGTGTATCGTTTCTCATACATTTTAGCCAGTTACTGTTTCATGGTTACTGGCAGAAGACATGAGACTTCCGGGTCAGAAAGAAAACGTTTTATTACCCTTGGCACAATAAGCAGCATGAGCACCAGCATATTGGCATCAATTGCCCTTGCTTTCAATTCCTATGGTCCGGATGGATGCTATGAATGAGTGAGTTTGCATTGCAACTAAGGAACTCTGAGTTTGGGGAATTCACTGCTTTTATAACAAGCAGTAAGTCAGTCTGCTGTTTGTCCAAGGGGAGAGGTTGCCTCATCTCTCACCTGCGAAAGCAACCTGAGAAGTAGCCCAGGTTATTAAAAAAAAAAAAAAAAGTGTTCAGACCCTTGATGTCTTGGCATACCCAGTAAGACAGTAGTCTCCAACCTTTTTGGCACCAGGGATCGGTTTCATAAGACAATTTTTCCATGGATCAGGGCGAGGAGGGTGGTTTCAAGTGTAATTCAAGTGCGTTACCTTTATTGTGCCCTTTATTACATTGTAATATATAATGAAATAATTATATATTACAATGAAATAACAATTCGCCATAGTGTAGAATCAGTGGGGCCCCTGAGTTTATTTTGCTGTAACTGGACAGTCCCATCTGGAGGTGATGGGAGACAGTGACAGATCATCAGGCATTAGATTCTCATAAGGAGCCTGCAGCCTAGATCCCTCACATGCAGAGTTCACAATAGGGTTCACGCTCCGGTGAGAATCTAATACCTCTGCTGATCAGACAGGAGGTGGAGCTCAGGTGGTAAGGCAAGTGATAGGGAGCACCTGTAAATACAGAGGAAGGTTTACTGGCTCCGCTTGCCCACCACTCACCTCCTGCTGTGTGGCCCAGTTCCTAACAGGCCACGGACCCCTATGGCCTGCGGCTTGGGGGCCCCTGCAGTAAGATATGTAGGCCCAGGGAAGACTGCTCTCCCAACAAGGCTCTTTAGGTCTCTGACTCTATGTCAGGGCAGAAAGGCAGTGTTATTTCTGAAGGTGCCTGGAATGGGGTTAGGCCAGTGGTCGAAAATGAGTAACAAACGCTATTAGATTTTTGGCCTTTGAGTTAGTGAAATAATAGATATTTTCAAAGTGGGAGAAAATTTGGAGTATAGAAGAGAAAGAGGCTAATCAATTTCATGTTTCATTTAATGTTTCATCACTGTTAAGAATCAGTGTCATGAAAGCCGTGTTAGGTTGTTTCAAAGGAAGCAGCTTTCCTGCCCATTTCCAGTTTATTGACAATGTAAAATTGTCTTGCTATGTTTGCTTTTCTGCAATACTTAGGGAAATTTTATTTTATATTAACTTTATAAATGGTAATTAAGACAAAGATATGATTTCTACTTCTATTATCTTGAATACTCATCTCCGTTTATTCACAGGCCTTAATTGGGACATAAAATCTGTAAGTTCCTAGCATATATGTCTATGTGGTTTCTCATACAGTTTTCAGATATTTTTATCATCAACATTCATTCAGTTTTCTTGGGGCACAGCTGGATTGAGTCACTAGCCATATGAAAAATCAAACATAGTAACCATTCTTTTTATATTTTCAAAATAGCTTTAAAATATGCTGTTGGCTTTTATGTTTATCAGAGCCATAAATAAATTTTGAAAATTAAATTAATGAATTATTTGTTTATTTTCCCCTTACAGAAAGAAAATGTGTTACACAAAAAAGTGAAAATCCAGTGGTGGCAGATTCATGCCTGTAATCCCAGCACTTTGGGAGGCCAAGGTGGGCAGATCACTTGAGGCCAGGAGTGTGAGACCAACTTGGCCAACATGGTGAAGCCCTGTCTCTACTAAAAATACAAATATTAGCCAGGTATGGTGGCTTATGCCTATAATCCCAGCACTTTGGGAAGCCAAGGCAAGGTGGATCACTTGAGGCCAGGAGTTTGATCGAGACCAGCTTGGCCAACATGGTGAAACCCCATCTCTACTAAAAATATAAAAATTAGCCAGGCGTGGTGGCTTGCACCTGTAGTCCCAGCTACTCAGGAGGCTGAGGCGTGAGAATCACTTGAACCCGGGAGTTGGAGGTTGCAGTGAACTGAGATCGTGCCACTGCACTGCAGCCTGGGTGACAGCCAGACTGTGTCTCGGAAAAAAAAAAAAAAAATAGTGATGCTGTTTCTCTAATGTGACAATGAAATAGAATATTTGTGAAATTTTTAAAATCAATACAAAGATAACCAGGCAACTATTTTTTATTTTAGTCCTTCATGCTGAATAATCCTTCTAACAATGTGTGTCCTTTTTCCTGCCATGGTAAATACAGTAGACTGAACATATTTTGTATTACTCTGTTCTGAGAGTATTGTTTATTCTCTTGGAATCATCAGTTATTATTTAGCAATAGTACAAGTGTAAAATAAAAGTAGGTTAAGTTGGATGCCTAATGGTCACATAACTTAATTTGAATACTTTCAGTTTTTGCTTAATAACTAATATTTAGATATTGTACATCCTAAAAATGAGGTTGCTAGATACCTTTTCCACAGTATATTCATATAAGAATTATCTTGATTTTGGTCCAAGTTATTTACAATTTGCTGGGGAAACTCTGCTTTTTTCTCATTAGAAAGCATCCTTTATATGTATTAGAAATTTAACTTAGAATTTAATTAACTTTTCTATATTCACTCTACAGCTACTTTTCTTAAAAGCTATCTTTCTTAATTTTGAGGTAAGAAAATCTCTTTGAAATTTTTGATCCAAGAATAAAATTATCTGGATTATTTTACTTTTTGTGGTAGCCAAACAAAAGAGAAGTTGTTTTCAAACAAATTCCATCAGTGGTATATGGTCAATATAATCAGTAGACCAATATAACATTTAGCTGTTAGTGTCTTCTTAAGAATTGTTTAGTCATTGATCTATATCTATGATACATTCCCTTTATGTTTTGCAAATAGAAGAGAAAATGAAATAGATAAAAACAATGCCTGATGGTTATTGAGTGCTCATGTGTGTGTTGTATTTTAAGTACTGATATTTATACCACTTAATCTTTACAACCTCTAGTGACACTATTGTGGTCCCCATGTTACCCAGGAGGAAACTGAAGCACCAAGAGGTCAGATCGCTTGTCCAAGGTTAGAGTGAGGATATGAGTCCAGGAAGCTTATGCACTTGGACGACATGGCCGCCCAGCCTTTTGCACTGCGCTTGCTTTTATTTCCCCAATTCTCTTATTTCTTTCCTAACAGAACCCTCCCCTCTGCTTCCTGAATCAGTTTAGAGGCTAAAATAGCAGATGAAGCTAAAAAGTTTCTTTGACATATAACAATTTCCTCCAGAATTATCTTGTTGAAAGTAAATAGCCCATCTGGTTTCCTCTTTTCACAGACCAGAACTCCTAAGTGAGCTTTGTGACTGAAGCTGGCTGAGTTCCATGCAGTGCGCCTGTTGGCCCTAAGCAAGACGAGCACAATCTGTTTCTTCTATTTCTAATAGAGGAAAAGAGTTCCTTCATTTGCCTCTTTAATTCATTGCTTGAATTTTATGTCCTTCTTTCTCACAATGGCAGCTTTCCTGCTGTGGTCTTTTTTTTTTTTTTTTTTAACCTTCAGGTAAATTTGAAACTACATAATAAATGCTTTTCAGTACAAGGACACCACAATGAAATAACATTAAAAGTTGCATTTTAAAACCATAGCAAGAGATTGTGAGCTGTGTGACTCCCGTTGATTAGCAGGGGCTGGCGGAGGTGTCTGAGAAAGCCGTGTTTCTGCTGCCCTATTCTCTACCTGCTCTCTGAATAAATAGAAGTGTTTAGTGCTTTGCTCCAGAATCCACGGGAGTCAAACAGCCAAGCTCTGCACACCCTGAGAGTTTACCTCTAAGTACCTTAATTTAGCTCCTGAGTTTACTTATAGGAAACAGCAGGAACTATCCCTCTAGCCCTGATAATTACCTTCCTACAGGGCTGACTGAGGGTTACAGAATAGGGGCTTAAAAATTGAACCTGAATTCTCCCTGGCCAAGAAAATCATTTGATTCTTTCTGTCTTGCAGAGCAGATAAGAATCTTGTAAACTTTATGAGCTATTAAATGCATTATTTTAATTTCTAGTTTTCTTGTGGAACCAGGTTTCAAGAGGTCTTCATGCAGTGTTTGATGTCTTTCCATGACTGATGGCTGTCCTCCAAATCTCATTATTTTTAGGAAGAGCTCAAAAAAGCCAGTTCCTTGACTGGTATCGTTTGCTTAATGGGACATCTAGATTTTACACTTAAGAACTTGTATTCTCACAGAAGCTCTACCAGATTCCTCTTGATTAAGGGCATATTGATGGAAAGAGTAGGATTTCAGGCCCGGAGTATTTGGCCTGGCCCTGAGGTCTCACATTTACATCTATGGCATTGTGAGTGTAAATGATGTGGTGGTATAGCTGCTTCTAAAACAGTGTTCTTCTGAAACAGTAAAGGGGATTTTCAAGGGTATCACTTTAAGGGGTGAGGAGGGGAGAGGCAGTCTAAGAAAGGGTCTGACCCCTCAAACAACCAATTTGTGTCTGTCTGACACATCAGGCAGGTGTGAAGGGTTTCCATCATAGATATTGGAAAGTTGGAAGAGCCAGTTTTTAGTAGTTATTACTAAAGTCTCTTACTATTTTAACATTTTTTATTTCTGAGCTAAGGATAGCAATTTTTTTTAAAAAAGCAAAGGAACATTACCTACGAAGTAATATATAAAATACATGTTTACCATTGAAGCTACACTTCTTATATTTTTAAAATATAAATCTCTACACACTTGGTAAATGCAGCAAAATTATTTGACTTAGTTTAAAACTGATTAAGAAAAATACTGTTTTTCTTGTAGATTTTTATAATATAAACAAAATCCGAAGTCCATTTGTTTCACGATTCAGATGTGACCATCCTCGGGCACACCTGCTGTGTGTTAGAGCCCACCGGACCCATCTAGCTACAATAACTCATTCAGTATTCCTTAAGAAGTAGTTTTCATCATCCCTAATTCTTAGACGAGTCAATGAAGACTTGGTTTTTTAATTTAGAACACATTTTTATTCACAAATATTTATAAATTGTAACATTAACTAAAATTTCTTAGCTGATTGTCCCTGGGAAGTCACATTTAAGGTGCATGTTTGCAACTCAAATGCATTTCTGCTAAAGACATTTTAAGGCATCAGTGAAATATTCCAATGAGCTTTGACACATAGTTTAAGTACACCTAATAGAACAGACTGAGGCATTCATGTATCTAATTATTTTTTAAAGAAACCCAAGATAGAACAGTGAAGCCAGGAATTTGATTGGTGATGACCTGGTTTCATCCCTGGTGCTCAATCTTCTAAGGAGTCTGGGGGAGAGGTGACAGGGTTAGTACCTGGGGAGGAGTGCCAGCACAGAGGCTTTGGCTTCCTAAAGGAAGGTTAAGGCAGACGTTCCCATAGAGTGCCACACTCCCAGGCTGCACATTCTGCCTACAACCCCCCCGCAGTCCACCTGAGCCTGGTGGTATAGTCCCCTGCTGCCCAGGTGGAGGGCATGGCCAGCTCCAGCTATTGTGTTAGTGCTGGGAGCTCAGGCTGCCATTGTCCTCACACTTTACCCTCACTCTTTCACTGAGGCTCAGCGGGTACCAGGTCAAGAATGTTTGTCTAAGTGTCCAAATTGTGCATCTCCTGCACCTGTGTCTCTTAGCTAAGGCGCTTAAT
The DNA here is from genome assembly GCF_000001405.40 of Homo sapiens. Lineage (NCBI taxonomy): Eukaryota > Metazoa > Chordata > Mammalia > Primates > Hominidae > Homo > Homo sapiens. The sequence continues at coordinate 162,704,006 of NC_000006.12, read as the reverse complement.
TACAAAGCAAATCCCCCTCCCTGCAAATGCTGTCTGTGGTCTCCACGTGAGAAGGGCCTCATCTCTGTCATGCGCTTGTAGTCTCAGCACCTGGGAAAGTACTAGCATTTAGTTGACTCCCAAATATATTGAACTGATAAAGGAATAACAACACAATCTAACACCTTCACTGATAGCTAAAACAGTGGTAATCCGGTAAAGATAATCTACATGGAAATATATTTGCCAACCAGTGTGTGTGTGGACTATGCATTCCAGTTGTCTTAGTGCATAATCAGGCTCTACTCACGACCCTCTGTGACTGTGGGACAGGAACCTCCCTGTGCACAGCCTTCCTCATCTACAAAATGGGGATAGTATGATCTACTTCTTAGGAATCTCCAGAATTAAATAGAAAGTTCTTAGCCCCGTGCCTGACACACACTCAAGCTAGGCAGCTGGTATACGTGAAAGACATGGAAAAATGAAGAGTAAGTTGGAGCCGGCTTGTGTTACATTTCAACTGCACAGCTCTACTGCTGAGACCGTGTTCAGTTTTCTCAATTCCAGGTGTTTAGAAATATCAATCTGTTTTGGTTTTACCCACAGGATTTAAAATAGAATGGAACAGTATCACATGTTAATTGACAAGAATTAGAAAGAGAATGTATATAAATATTAAAAGTTCAACATGGTATGGTAATATTTTATACATATTTTACATGTATTAAAAGTTTTCGTTAAAATGGAGATTTACGTCATTGTATTGTAGTTGTCTTCATTACAGTCTTTAAATATAAATGTCAGAAATGAACTCTCTGTACTACTTTTTAAATCCAATAGCTTAATTTTCACTTTTATGTAGTGTGGAGTCCAATACTAAAGTAAGTTTTTTTTGTTGCCACTCTATTAAAAGGTTAAATGTTCCTTAGTGGACTCATACAATGTAAAATAAGATTTTCCTAGTAATCAACACCTAGAATACTATCAAAGCTTATGGTAAAGTCTTAAGTAAATATATTCCAAATATTAAGTAAAAATTGATTCATTTAATTTTTTGCCTAAATAACTTTAAAAACTGGCTTTCGGTATTCCTTTATGGTTAAATCAATCCCCTTAGATATCAATCAACCATGTACATGCAGTGGAGCCTTTCTCTGACACTGATTCATTAGGAGAGCTCATTTAAGGAGTTAAACATCTCTCACTTGTCAACACTGAGGTAATTATGCACTATTAATTCTCTTGTCATTTCAAAAAGTGCTATTTTAAAACTATTCATTTCATCAATCCTGAGAAGTAGGATAAGGTAGACAGCCTGCTGTAAACCAATTTAAGATGTGATTACATTGCTTTATTCCTGCAATGCACGAATCAGAAAGTTGATTTAATGTGAATACAGCTTTTGAAATGTTTCTTACTTCATTTTAGGAGATGAATATGATTAGGCAACCTTGAGAGGACAAAGGAGTTGATGTAGAAGAAAGGAACTTTAATTTATTCTGCTGTTTGCAGAATCAAGATAGTAGGTAGGGAGGGCTGAGGGAGAAAATCAGGAAATGGTAGTTTTCTTTGTCCGTTTTGTTTAATGGAAGCTTTTGTGTGTATCTGCTATCTGCATATTATTAGCTGTTAATTAGAGTTTAAACTTCTTTACAGTGACCATCTATGAAGGAAGTAGAATATGAATTTTTTTGAAAATAAGAGGAATTACATTGCTTAACTACTTAAAATTATTTTTAAAGGAAAAACGTCAAGTAAACCAGAGACTCAATATATCATGATAGATATCTGAAAACATTGATTTCAACATCCTGCCAAGTTTGCAATACTTGAAGTTCATTAATATGCAGATTTTAAATAAATGTTAATGTATAAAATGTTGGTTAAGTTATTTCTCCTAATTTAATCTTGTAGAACAATTGTCACGATAGTTTTCACCTCCTATTTTAAAGACATATCAATTTAAAGGAGATGTTTAGTTCTACAAAAACAATATACTATTGTTTTTTGTATTTTGATTTAATTTGATTTTTAAAACCCTTGGTTTAATAGAAGATACAGGGAAACATTTTATTCATAAATGAAACTATTCCCTATATGCTTTCATGAGCTTCTGTTGGTTTCATTTTGTCGGGGGGGTGTGTGTGTGTGTGTGTGTGTATGTATGTATGTGAGTGTGTGTGTGTGTGTGTATGTATGTGAATGTGTGTGTGTGTTCCTATTGGAAATGAGTTTTTGAAGTTATACTTTTGCTAATACTGAAAGATTAGTGATGATGACATAATTGACATGTTGAATGTTGAGTCTAGTTGTACACTGATGTCAAAAAAAAAAGAGAGTGAAGAAAGCTCCAATCTTGGAAGCTTGTTGACCCTTAGCTTTACAGGTTGTCTTACTACATTGTCTCAAGCCCTAGGTATTTTGATTGGTGAACAGGTGTGCTGGACTTGTATTTTTTTAATCACATTTAAAATGATTAATAGTTCATGTAAATTACTGTTGTTATAGGGTTAATTCCAGTGCTGACCCATGAGCCAATTTTTTTTTTTTGCAATGCATCTCAAATTTTAAAAACTACTTTTTAACTATTGAAACATCTTACTTGTGATTCTACCACGGTTCTGATAAAAGTTCATTTCCATTTTAATAGTGGAATTGATTATCTTAATTAATTTAATTTTAATTCTTATCTTCTTGTGCAATAGTTATTTAAGGTCTTTTACAGAAGTCCCTCGTTACATTATCTCTTTTAAGCATTGCTTTTTAGTCCGAAGCAACAGCTGCTTTTTTGTTGTTGTTCATTACAATTATAATCACATTGAATTTTGGTTTTCTTAGCAGTTGGCAGTAGACAAAAATCACATTTCATAAATTTGACTTTGACTGGTATATCTGAATAGACATTAGTCCTCAGATTTTAATGGTCAGCACCACTGATTCCTTTATTCAGCAAGTTTTTGTTGATCTCAGAGGGAGTCCAGAGCCGAGCCTTTACAAACAAAACCAATTTTAGACACAGATTCTGCTTTATAAAAGTTTATGTTTTATCTGGGGAGGCAAGACATGTATGTAAATTAATTAATAGCAAAGTATGTCATGAGGTAAAGGAAAACCTAATGCAGATTGAAATGATTGCTTATGTACCAAAAGGACAGGCCTTGAATTGGATCTTGAAGGATGTATAGTATTTTTAATACTATAAAAGTGCTTTTATAGTGCTTTTTTAAGTTGAGAGAAATAGAAAATAGGAGTAAAAGATGTGCGATAGATATAAGCATATGATGTTGAGGATAGTTAGGAAATGGGTCAATTTGAAGTAGAGATTCATAAGCTTATCAGATTTGGCATTCAAAAAGAACAAGCAGAAACAAGAAAGAAAGATGTTAACACTTAATACCTATTATTGGTTAGGTGTTTTAACTGAATCATGTCACTGAATTCTCAAAATGTATTCCTGTAGTTTGATATTGTGATCCCAATTTTGCAGTCTTGGGAGCTAGATCTCATAGTCTTGCTGAAGGCCAACTAAGAAGTGGGTGGAGTTGAGATGTGAATGTTGAAGTGTTTGTGTTATCAAAGCCTTCGCTACTTCACCTGTATCATACTATAAACAGTGGGCACAAGAGGGATTGTCTTGCTGTTCACACAAATTGAGCATGCTCGGAACATAGCTCCTCATCTCTTTTCTTCTCAGATCATTTTCTTCCTACTCATATTTATTAATGGTATGGGGACAAAGCTTCTTTTCTACCCTCTGAAAGTTTGCTGAAAATGAACTGACAATAAGCAGATTAATGGGAGAAGAAGACTTACAAATTTGTTTAACATGCCTAAGCATGGGGCAATTGCAGGAGAATGATTACCCAATAACCCAACGAGGTCCAGATGCTTGTATACCCTTCTTCATAGGGAAAGGAGAGAGGAGGGAAATGAGGCAATTTTGTGGGGTGTACTAAATGATTTTAATGAACATGGAAGATAGAAGTTAGCTCGTCAATGATTATTTGTGTGAAGTGCTTGAATATTCATTCAATATTCATTTTGGGATGAAGTTCATCAGGGTTCTAGGTGTGGTGTTTAATTTTCAGTCTCTTCCTCTAGGATATGAGTTTTAATTTTCTCTTGTTAATGAAATTCACTGAAGAGATCAAAGGTAACGTACTTCTCTTTGGTGGGTCTGGTTTCTAGGTAGACAAGAGAACTTCAGAGAACAGCCTCATCCTCTGGTTTGGGAGAGACAGATGATTGAGAGACCGGGAGAGGAAGGTCACAGAGACCCTAGGGCTCCTGCTTTGGTTCAGTATGCCAAAGCACCATATTTTGGGGTATTGTCTTCAGAGTCCCAAGAAGGGCTTCACCATTCTTTCAGTCATTGAGACTTAAAATATTGGAGACACTTTTATTCTTAAAATTAGCTTTTGTTTAATATATGATGTTTGAATGAAAAATTTAAAAAGAACCTGGCAAACAATGGGTCATAGATTAAAACCCATATTCTTGATTATATCTCACATAGTAAGCTTAAGCTCTTTTGATTTCCAGTGAACTGTATATGCTTTTCATGTTTCACAGCTTACCAGATGTTATCTATTCAGAGCTTCAGCATATCTAGGAGGAGTGGATTCAGTTAATCTAGTCTTAGCCTTGTATATTTTGTCATAATTTGGTAGATGTTTTTGGCTTGCCTTTTCCCCATATTTCAGCATTTGATTATATATTGATTTGGATTAATTTTTTCTTGTTAGTCTTTTTTTCTTTTCAATAAGATTATAGAAAGGCAAGAGTGATTTCATATTCTTCAATAGCTTCCCCACACTTTGCTCATCACCATAAGGTTAGGCACCAAATAGTCAATATGTATCTGCTTAATTACTTTACCTGAAATGATCTAAAGCATATTGACATGTAAGACACCCATAGACTTGTTTCTGTTTCTGTAGCTATATAAAGCCAGTACCAGCTATCACCTAATCCATGAGTCACACATGGCAGTAATTTAACAATATTTTTTAAATGATTAACAAAACCCTTTTAATGGAAATGAAGAGCTCTTCAGAAAATGTTGAAGGACTGTTGTTTCTGTGAACTCTATTGTTGGGTCTGGCTTTTTGAGTATCACTCTCTGATCAAGAAGCCATTTATTAATAGTCTAGATGTTAGAAGTTCTTTGGGGCTCAGTAGTGAAATTTAAATAATTTTGTTTCTAAAAACTAAGGGACTTAGGCTCTACTGGAATGCATGTCCCTCCAAAATAAAAACCTGGACATATCACAAAAACAACTACTTGAAGGTACTGGATTGTGAAGAGAAGCAGAGATGCTGGTTGGGTGTGCATACTGGCATGGAGGAGAAAAGGTGGAGAGCTGTAGAAGTCAGTTCTTATCTCTGCAGCTTTTAGCCTGGGGCCAACTGCAGCACCTGTGGTCCACACACCTGGGGAGAAACTTGCAGTCTCTCCAGCCAGGGAAAGAGGAAAATGAAGCCTTTTGACTTTGCAAGCCACCATCCTTGGGGTCCTCATGCTCATGTGATGGTGCTTGAGCTCTAGCCAGCACATAGAGGTATAGGGAGGAAGACAAAGAGGAAGAAAAGGGTAAAAGGAAAAAGTAGCAAACCAGCCTGACTGTCCCCTTATAAAGGATTTTCAATCCACCTAGTGACTCCCACCTAAATTTCATTAACAAGGACTGTGTCATGTGGTCAGTCCTGGCTGTGAAAGAAGTTGGGAAGTGTAGTGGTTAAAATCTAGGCACATTGCCACCCTCAGTAATGCCAAGGTTCTGTTAGCAAGGAGGAAAGGAAAAGCAATATTGATAGACTAGGCAACCAGCAGGATCTGCCAGTGGACACGTATGCCTTTGTATGCTGATCCTCTTCCAGAACCTGCTGTCACATCTGCTGAGATCTTCAGGCAGGAGGAGATCCATCCTTTGTACATTAGCATAGGCTTTTAGTTAACATATGTAGGAGTAAATATGTTAAGTCCCCAAGGAGTCTCCTCTAATTGCTGTTTGTAAGGGAAACAGGCAAGGCAGCTTAGTGTGGTGTATATTCTGTCATTTCTGTATTCTCCATACCTCCTGAGGTCTAGATAGGACTTCACTTCTTCAACTCAGTACTCCTTATTCATTGCTTATCCAATTGAATATGTTAAGAAGTAGACCTAGGAATATTTACTTTTTTTACTAATGAAGTAGACCTAGGTATATTTACTTTTAATAAATACTCCTGCTCTAAAAAATGGTATTTTCAAATTATTGATAATGTAAAAATGGTTAGATATGCAAAAATTGTTTCCATAAATGTATTTAATAGTTTTAAAATTTCTCAGTTAAGTCTTAATTGACCTTCAATAAAATCCTAAACTATTGTTTGAACAGATGCTTCCCAACTTTTGACGCCATAGCATATATAGAAGGCAGGCACTGAGTCTGTTAGCCTATAATCTCCAAAAAAGGCAGCACCTGGTTTGTTTTATGCCTATATCTGGTGGAACCTGACATAAACACATTAATACAGGATTTTAAAAATTAATTATTCAACTCATATTTTGATGCTGTTAAAACTTGCTTTTTTTACTAAAGTAAATTAACTTTCTACTCTCAGTTACTTTGTGTTTATTGAGGCTACAGGGCTAGGAAGGTCTGAGTTTCAGCATTTTTTTGACCTAAAATGTCATTTAAAAAAATCTCAAACCTGTGAGTTATATTTATTGCTATCTTTTTATTTTCATTGATGTATGTCTGTATAATTTTTTATTACGGAAAACTTAAAACATTTTTCTTACTGAAAACTTGAAGGTTATACAGAAGCAGGGAGAATAACTTAATGAACTCTGTTATACCAGTCATCCAACTTTAACAATTTTACTTATATGTGACCTTTTTCATCTATATCCTCAATTACCCACTCTCTTATCCCTCAGCAACTAGATTATTTGGAAGCAAATATTTGGAGTCTGAATTGAATAAACTGTAAAGAAAATTATGAGACAGTGGAATATATTTGAGTATTAATTTGCTATTAAGGAAGCATTGTTAATATTTATAGATATGTTAATTATATTGTAGTATGCTTAAAAATAACTTTACTTTTTTGGAGATACATGCTGATGTATTTATGGATGAGTAATGTAACCTCAGGGATTTGTTAACAATTTGTTTTTTAAAAGTTCTTCCTGGCTAAGTGCGGTAGCTCATACCTCTAGTCCCAACACCTTGGGAGGCCGAGGTAGATGGATCCCTCGAGCCCAAGAGTTCAAGACCAGCTTATGCAACATGGCAAGACCCCATCTCTACAAAAGATTTAAAAAAATTAGCTGGGCATGGTGGCACACACCTGTAGTCCCTGCTGCTTGGGAGGATGGCTTGAGCCTGGGAGTGCAGTGAGCCAAGATTGCACCACTGCACTCCAGCCTGGGTGACAGAGTAAGACCCTATCTCAAAAAAAAGAAAAAAAAAAAAAAGTTTTTCCTGACACAAATCATTTGAACAAACAATGTAGTGAATCCAGTATCGAATCCAGTATCTAATTTCCTCACAAACAAATACATGCTTTTCCAGTAGACTTTCTGTCTCTAGTCCTTGAAGCCAAGTCAAGGGGACAGGAACACACCTACCTCCTCTAAACAGAAGTTTTAAGAGAAAACCCACAAGCAAAGAAGGACTGGAATTCCTTCCCTTCCTCCTTTCTTGAGCGTGGCACTTTCTCAGGCAGGGGGAAGCACATCATTCTTAGGATTTCGAATTGAACATCCTGGTCTCAAAAACGGATTTTAGTGATATAGCATTCTAATTATATTTTCCTAGTTGTTTTCTTTTATGATACTTAGAAATCATTGCTACCGGGACATTTTTTGCCTTTTTAATGATTTTCATTTTTGCCCTGTATTCACTGTTTTTCTCTCTCTTTTTTAGTATGTTTCCTGTTACCAATTTGTTTATAGGATTCCAAGAAAATACCATTTGCTGAGTACCATGTTCCAGGCACTTTCTGTAGTCAGAGCTCGTTTACTTTTCAGAGCAGCTGTACATTGTGTGCGTTCCCATTGTACAAGCAGTGAATCTTCGGCTCAGAGAAGTGAAAACTGCCCCAAGATCAGTAGTTAATAGGAGGTTAGCCAATATTTGGACTCTAGCTTCTCGGACTCCAAACTCTATGTACTTAAGAGTTCTACCATATTTTACTATTGATACTTTTTATTTTCCCAAATATGATTTCAATATTCTTTAAGTTATATACTTGTAACTTACATTTTCCAACCAAGGCCCAATTATTTTTGCTCAGATTTGGAAATTATTTCTTAAATTACAAAAGACTATTGCAGAGGCTCCCTGAACTTGTACATTCTTCTACTTAAGTGTACATACAGTATGGGTAGATAGTCAAGAAATATCCATTTCCAAAGGTCAGAAATAGTGTTGAACAGTAAAGTATAAAGAGTTTTTTAAAAATGAATGATGGAAAATGATAGAAATTGATAGAAAAATTAGAAAAATATACCATGTAAGTAAAGATATATAATGTTTTTGCAGGTCTCATTTTACAGAGAAAGTCATGTCTTGACATTTTTTAATGGGGCTATAAATTTAGTAATATTTTAGTAGGAATAATAGGATATTAAATATGAGCCTTCATTCCTGAAATTTTAGATTTTCTTAATGATACTTACCCTTCCTGTGAGCAACCAACCTTGAGAGTGTATTTAACTGAGATTTTGAAGTAATGCATGATACATCTTGAATTTCTGTGACCCAGAAATATTGATGTGCTAATTTTCTGAGTTAAAAACTTTCTTTTTATGTTTTTGTCCTTGTTAAATGGGCAAGTGCTGGCTAAATGTCTTGGAGAATACAGTATTTTCAGGAAATGACATGAAGTATTGATTTACTTTATTCTTATTGCCTCAAGCAGAACAGCCATAAAATATGTTCAATTTCTCCTCATTTCTATCTGCAGATCACACTGACTTGTGCTGCAGATGACAGGTGTGGACATGATAGGAGCATATTGACATTTACTGGGATTTGACTTCAAAGCTTTAGAGATGAAAAGCATACTGACAAAGTCGACTAGAACTTGATTCACATAATTATTGTGGTGCTAAGTTTTGTTCAGCAGCACAGTATAAACACGAATGTAGATCCGACACAGAACATCCAGGCAAGGACAATGCCTACTGTGCTAAAGCTTTTACGATTTAAAAATGTCAGCATGAAACCTGCTTTGGAATTATTTTGGAAAACTCTAACTGTTGAATATGTGATCCAGATGAATAACTTTAAAAAATGTATCCTTTCATGAAATCACATTCAAATTGAGTTAAACAGTTCTTTATCAGTTACTGATTCTTTCTTAAGTATGAAAGATTAAAATTTAATTTGAGTTTTATACAATTTTCAAGTATGTTAATTGTTGTCAGGTTAGTCACAGGTGACTGAATTCTTCCAGGATTGTGATGTCTCTTTGGGAGTGACACAGTTTAATTTTGAATAACCTTAAGAGAGTCACTATGGTTCAAGGTATGTCTGCTCATTTGCCTCTAGGAGCACCTGTGCAAATGGACAGATTTCCTAAGAGCTGCCATAAAGACACATACTGTGTGTGCTACTCCTCATATTTAGCTCTGCTTCTGAAGGCCTCGCATTCTGCTGGATTGCCACAGTTATCACTGCTATCTCTGCCATGTAGAATGAGAGAAGCAATAGAGGTTAAGCTACTGATTGCTGCTATTGACAGAAATGTCTACCAGCACTCCATATTTCTTCTTTTTTTTTTTTTTTTTTTTTGTCTCACTGTTGCCCAGGCTGGAGTGCAGTGGCACGATCTCGGCTCACTGCAAGCTCCGCCTCCCAGATTCACACCATTCTCCTGCCTCAGCCTCCCGAATAGCTGGGACTACAGGTGCCCGCCACCATGCCTGGCTAATTTTTTGTATTTTTAGTAGATACGGGGTTTCACCGTGTTAGCCAGGATGATCTCGATCTCCTGACCTCATGATCTGCCCGCCTCGGCCTCCCAAAGTGTTGGGATTACAGGCATGAGCCACCGTGCCTGACCTCTTCAACATTTTAAGTACCAAATTCCTCCAGCATTTATTCCTAGAGCTGCACAAGGTCAATAGGCACAGAGATATTTATAGTATGCTTTGTAACATATGTGTATCATGTTAAATATGCATGTGCAGGTTGAATTAGCTTCACTTATTCCTGTTTATCTCCTGTTTGAATGATTATTTTAGTCACTATGTACCTCTTCAAGTGACTCTTTAAAAGAGGCTTCAATTGAACTTTTATTATGCACAAAAATTGTCTGAGATTCAAGATGGATAATTTGAATATTTTGAAGGATCTTTGTGCCCATAACCCAAGTTTCTTGAAAGCAAAAAAAGGTAGCTATTGGTGTCTCATAAAGAATGAAATTTAATGGCTGGATAATTCTCCTTTTCCAGTTTGAGTTCCTTTAATGCATTTAGAGAGGGGGCCATCAGAGATGGTGATTGTATTCAATGCTGTCCCCGCCCTCACATCTGTTAGGGACAACTCTTAAGTACAGCTTGCTCACTGCTCACTGTCAGCCCAAAACCATGTGAAGAGGAAAACCTGAGAAAAACCTTTCCTTTATTGCCAAAAGCAGAGCTGACAACATGCTTCTTTGATTCTTACACCTTTATAATGAATGTTTGGGTAGGTCACGATCCCATCTCTACTGAGGATGCAGCATTAGTGGCCAATGTTGTGAGGTGATAGATGGGACAAGATAGGTTAGAAAGGCAGGATGGCTACTTCAGGCACGACCCTGCTGGGCACATACATCTTATACAGTTGAATTTGTGAGGCACCTTCATCTCTTACCTAGAGGATAGTCATTGGCAACAAGTTTGAAAATAGTCCAGTTTGCAGTTGGTCAGTCTCTTTTATTTAATGTTTATTACTGTAATTGGCCTAAATATCAAAAGTTGCTTTTTACATTCTACAGCAAATTATATGGGCTTATTTTTTCTGTGCATTTATTTCTGCTGAAATCTGGAGGCTGATTTAACTTAAGGGGTTCGATAGATATTAGGTGTCTGAACAGAGACTGGTCATGACCAAGGAGTCAGATAATAAGGCTGGTTGAATCCTAGATACCAATGGGAAGAATCTAGTTTGTCTCTCGGGTTCAGTGATTTGCTGAAAGGACTCATAGAAATCATAAAATCTATTATAAAAAGCTATTATACACACAGTTATGGCTTAATATAGCAAAATGATACAGATTCAAATCAACAAAGGTAAAAGGGACATAGAACAGAGTCAGGGAGAGACCAGGAATGAGTTTCTGGTTGTCCTGTCCTGGTGGATTTGTGTGGACAGTTCCTAATTCTCCCAGCAATGATGTGTGATAGCACACATGGAGTATTGTCAACCCGGAGGGTCACTGAGCCTTGGTGGTCAAGGATTTTGTTGGGGGGGGTCTGTCTTGTAGGTGTGGAACACCTACGTGGGTAACTTTAGTTACTCAGTCTGCAGCCCCTCCTGTAGTCAAACTTCTGATACAGTGTGACCTAGGGCCCTGGGTGAACTAGAACGGGTGTTTGCCATAAATCACATTGTTAGCATAAAACTGTCTAGTGTGGCCCAAGGCCCCAGGTAGAAAAGCAAACTCTTACTAGGCAGGATACTCCAAGCACTTAGAGGTTATATCCCAGGAGCTTGTCAAGAGCCAATCTTTTCTTTTCTTTAGAATGTGTGTGGTTTGAAAACCTCAAGACTGCTAAGTTAACCCTTTACTGCACAAGTCTCTTGATACACAGGGAAATGAAATCCCAGTTCAACTGTCTGGACAACCATGATTTTTTTTTTTTTTAATTTTCTAATCTTTTTTTTTTATTATACTTTAAGTTTTAGGGTACATGTGCACATTGTGCAGGCATAGGCATGGGCAAGGACTTCATGTCCAAAACACCAAAAGCAATGGCAACAAAAGACAAAATTGACAAATGGGATCTAATTAAACTAAAGAGCTTCTGCACAACAAAAGATTTTTTTTTTTAATCTGTGCATATGGACACATGGCCTTTTTGAAAATTTTACTACCTATTTACATGAAAGCCTGATAAAAGCAAGATCTAACAAGAGTAACATTGAAATAGCCCAACGTATTTGCGTGACAGATTTACCCCAGGCTGCTACTGCTGCTTCAGTAAGAGAGAGATGTCTTCCTTTCCCTTTCTAACCAATGAATCATGTTGACTCTAGTGATGTAGGTTGAATTTATTTCTCACTGGTTATTTGATGGAACTTTTTTCTAAGTATTTGTTTATGAAAGTATTAGAATCGTGCATGAGTATGAGAAGTATGTCATTAACTGGAAAACAATATATTTCACCGAAAGTTAATTTTTTCAAAGCAAGAATTCTCAGAGCCTTTCATAAAATAAACTACATTTTGATCCTTTAAGGGTTATTCAAACTTCTTGAGATGTAGAACCTTTTTTTTCTTTGGATATCCAATGAGATAATTGGTGGGACACAGAATGGGAGGTACATATAAATATTGACTATTATTATTTTGAAATCTTGATGGTAAGTGGGGGTGTTTTTGGAATATATTCTTGAAATTATGCAAAAAGTTGGCATTTTCTGACACTAATCCATTATGTAGCATGTTATGTAGCTGTCTCTACTATGAGATGGTGTAATGTATTTTTAACTAATTAAAACAAATTAGTTGAAATATTTTGTTCTAAAACATTTTATGTTTTAAGTGTGCATAAATTGAAAAAATGTGTTTACTTTTATAATTATCTAATTGAAATGCTTTTGCTTTACATTTCCAACTATATATTTAGATATAGTAGGGGCATTTGTTGAAAGAAATTTTTATGTATTTATGAAAAAAATTCCTTATCATCATCGGATGCTTATCAGATATGATGAATAAATAATATGTTAACTTTAATTCTGGTGAAATTCTATTTTGAAAAAGATGAATGGGAAACACCTCAGATAAAAAATTGCAACATTACTAGTAAAGATTCCATTTTTTAGGACAGCATATCCTTCATAACCAAAGGTATTTACTGTAGCATGAAGGCATAACATTCAGTGCCAAGAGTGAGGTCACTGTAATTATAGAATCTGTAGCATTTAAAATTTGAAATTATCAGTAAAGAAAAACCCAAGGGTTTTTCAAAGATCCTTTAATTTCTATATTTATTCTGTCTTAGGGCATTCCATTAGTAAAAGAAAAAAAGAGGAACATCTGATCTGACCTAGTTAGTATCTTAAAGGAAGCAAAGACTCTGAAGATGTCCATTTCTAGTACGAGAGGAAAATGGCATGTTGTTATAGAATCATCTTTTCCTCTTTTTGACCTCTTAACTCTTTCTCAGCCTAGTGATATTTATTATCTACTGTTATCAGGAACTGTACTCATTGTCTCCAAGCCTTTTGTTTCTTGGTCCCTGAAACTCCTCTGCTTTGTAGCTAAGGTAGGAGGTATAGTATATGTAGTGATTTTGGTGGTGAGTTTCTATTTATTTTATATCAGTCTTGCTAATGAGTGAAAGCTACCGCTTTCCCTTGATGCATTCATGTGGAGTAAATGAGCTGTGCTCTTAACTAAGAGGAAGCGAGCAGTAAACAAGGAAACAGAGACTCTGAAAGCAGGTTGCTTGAGTTTGAACAGCAGCCTCATTAGCTGTGTTTTTGTGGGCAGATTGCTTTCTCATTCTGTGCCTGCTTGGTTTCTCCATAGAATCGGTGTGAGAATTTCAAGTCTGTTTATGCATGCAGAGTGCTTAGAATAGTACTTGGCACCTAGTAAGTGCTCAGTAAATTTTATGTTACTGTTTTTAGCTAAAGCGAGGTTACTCGTTACTGATATTCAGAAATCAGAGGCTTAATTTGTATTCGAGTACATTCTAAATAATGGAGTACATTCTAAATAATGGAGTACATTCTAATAACAATATATCTTCAAGAAAATAAATCAATGCTCTTATTTAACCCACATGAATATCTTTTATTTAGAGGACATAATACATCCTATTCTGAGTCCTCATATATTCAGAATAAAGACTTCTGATTTATGCTATGGGTCTGAAATTGGTCACCCCACATAGGCATGTTTGGCCTAGCAGTATTTGGTTTTGGTTTTTGGTTTGTTTTTGAAGTTTCTTTAAGCAGGGCATGCAGTCACAGGCTGCAGACTCTGCCTCGCTCTACTGTTTTACACTCTTGCGTGATTCATGCCTTTAGGCTTCTGAGCCTGTTGCCCCTGTTATTTAAATTTTTTGGAATACCTGTGTTAAATTTCACCCAGAGGGTCTACGTGTATTGAGGAGGACCATAAAGGATGGTGTTCCTTTTCCTGGAGACTTGTTTTCAATCATTAAGACATTAGGATGCTTCATGTATTTCCTTGATAAATAAATACTGTTGGAACCCAAAAGTAGACATCATTTTCCTGCCAAAAAGATTAGTTTGGAGAAACTAATTCAATAAAGACAACATAATCGTACCCAGTAGTATAACCTGTGTTAACACACAAAAGAGTTAAATGATTTTCAAGGAATTTCTGTGTTAATACAACTGATATAATTCTAAAGATGGCTGAATTTAGCCTAACAGGCAATAGAAGCCTAGGTAAAGAATACCTAGCAGTTTTTTTTTTCCTATAGTAGTTGGAGCTCTTTAACAGATCTTCAGTGTTCACAAATTCATAAGAGGCTTCTTCTTCTTTGACTTGTGCATTGTTTATCTGCCCATCGCTGTTAACTTCTTTCAGTAAGAATGATGCCCTCTGAGTAATGCCCCTGTTGTGAACTAAGAAAGACCGATGAATTATTAATAACCCACAGGGTTGCAGAGCCCTTGTAGGAATGAGAGCAGTGTGCTCTGTACGACAGTTCTGTTCACCTGATCTTGACAAATTAGGAGCATCTAAAACATACTCCTGCTTGTTAATACAAGAAGTGGGGGAAAAGGTGACTTTGAAATGCATCAATATTTAGCCCTTTTTTAGAATCTCAGAAGGATAATAGGGAACAGTGTTTCTTCATAAATAACTGTCTCTCCTATCTTTGGTTTAGCATGGTAGGCTAATGCCTTTCTGTCAAGCTAAGCTTTATGGTTCAATTTCTGCTGTATTCCTTGAGAAACAACTGGGGGGAAAAAAGTAAAAACACAATTATAAAGATGCCTGCTCCATAATCATTTAGTCCTGTTTATAGAACTTGATCCTTTTCAAGTATATTCTCCTATGTATTAAGCTGATAGGCAATGAGAGAGCAAATAAAACTCTTTACTGGAGAAGCAATTGTTTTATCAATAGCCTGGCTCATGTGGGATTCTTGACAGGAGGATTAGGAGTTGTAGCCACGTTGAAATGTAAAATATGTAATGCTGTGCTACACAAGGAGATGGGTTCCAAAACCTTCTGAATGTGTGCACTCTTGGTACTCACTAAAGTAACAGTTAAATTTTGTTTTAGGAAAGATAAAGACTATTGTATATTTATTATCTAGTACTATTGATCTGTTTTTCAATTTTGTTAGTTATCTAATACAATTGACCTATTTTTAAATTTTTATTGCAGTATATCACACAAATATTGAACTGTACAAATCTTACATGTAGAGGTTAAATAATATTCCATATGTATACACCCATGTTCTCACCATCTAGATGAATATGTAGAATATTTCTAAGTCATGAAGACTCCCTCAGGCACCCTCCCATCAATATCCTCACTGAAAGTCACCACCATCTGACATCTATCACTGTAGATTATTTTTGTCTGTTCTTGAACGTTATATAGATGGAATCATGCATTATGTTTTATGTCTGTTTTTTTCAGTCAGTGTTATGTCTATGAGATTTATCCATATATAAAGCAGTACCATTTGTAATTGAGACATTTACCTTATGACTTGATTTCAAATTCAGGCTGCTTATTTAAGTAAAATATTTCCCCATTGTGAGCAGAATAATTCTAAAAAGTACCCTGATATTCAGGTATGTATGTGCTTCAACAATTGTCAGAATCATTACCATAATTTTTTTTACTCCACATCCAGCAACAGGATCCTCAAAATGTTCCTTTTTTTATTCTAAGAGCAATGAGTTCTCCATTGTGTAAATTAAGATCTTAATATTCATAGTTACTTGTTGCTGGAGTTTGTAAATTGCCAGTCTTGCCTTCATGCTGAGAATCAAATTGCATTTGTGGGCTGGCAACACCCTTGTTAAGCCATCCTCATGGTATGATAATTAGAGATTCCTGCTAGGTTTGGCTTGTATAAAAAAGTAACACAGGTGGGAAAATTTACATACACATCTTCAATAACAAATTGTTATAATTTTTCAGAAGGGGAATTTTTGTATTTCATGTAGATTGCTCATAAGCAACAGTGTGATTGCTTTTCTCTCATTTTTAGATATATAGCCTCTGCAGTAAGGGGACCATGTTAAGAAGAAGCATGGCCATTTATGAGCAGTAAATTGAATTTATCTGGCTTTATTCCATTCTCTATTTCTCCATAAAAGACTCTTTTGTGGCCAGTCACGGTGGCTTACGACGGTAATCCCAGCACTTTGGGAGGCCAAGGCGGGTGGATCACGAGGTCAGGAGATCGAGACCATCCTGGCTAACATGGTGAAACCCCGTCTCCACTAAAAATACAAAAATTAGCCGGGTGTGGTGGTGAGCACCTGTAGTCCCAGCTACTCGGGAGGCTGAGGCAGGAGAATGGCGTGAACCCAGGAGGCAGAGCTTGCAGTGAGCTGAGATCGTGCCTCTGCACTCTAGCCTGGACGACAGAGTGAAACTCTGTCTCAAAAAAAAAAAAAAAGAAAAAGAGGCTCTTTTAACTCTAATCATAGATCAGAAGAATTAATATTGTTAAAACGACCATCCTGCCGAAAGCAGTGTACAGATTCAATGCAATTCCTATCAAAATACCAACATCATTTTTCACAGAATTAGAAAAAACAGTCCTAAAATTCATATGGAACCAAAAAAATAAAAAATAAAAAAGCAAAGCCTAAGCAAAACAAAACAACAACAACCAAAAACAAAGCTGCAGGCATCACATTTCCTGACTTCGAACTATACTGTAAGACTACAGTAACTAAAACAACAGGGTACTTGTATAAAAATAGATACATAGATCAATGAAACAGAATAGAGAACCCAGAAATAAAGCCATATATCTACGGAGTGCCAGCTGATCTTTGAAAAAGTTAACAAAAACATGCTCTGCGTATTCTGAGATGTTCTCAGGAGTATATGTTAGTCCTTCTCCACATACCTGTTTTCCAGGTTGGTCTTGAACTCCTGGGTGCAAGCGATTTACCCAGCTTGACTTCCCAAAGTGGTAGGATTACAGGCACGAGCCATCATGCCTAGCTAGGCTACCTTTTAAATATATATCATGGCCAATATTTGTTTATTCTGATTATTTATTAGTTCCTTTTTGATGTCTGGAAGAACTTATTTTCTAGCCAGACAGACTCTTATATCAAATATCAAATTTCCAGCCTTCCAAATGGGTTTTCCTACCTTGTCTCAAGCCAAAGCAAAACAAACCCCCACCCCACAAAAGAAAAACAAAACAAAACAAAAACTTCTCCTCCAAAATCAGCCGTTACACCACCCACCTCTGGTGTGGACATGACTTCCTTGTTCTTCCTCAGGAGTTATCATTTATTAAATGTCCAGTGTTTCCACTGCACTGGATTATTCTCAGAATGTTCAGCCAGCTGGGCACCATAGGGTCAGCTGGAAGAATCTGACCCTTTAAGTTTTCAGCTGTGGCTAAATCATGACATTTATGGTGAAGTTTTACTTAAAATATAGTTTTTCATTTGATTGATCACTTCCTATATTTTAGAGAAAAATCATGTCACCATTTTGTATTATGTTTAATATTTTAAAATTAACTTTTTTTTATGTTGCTGTAGCCACCACATCCCTAACCCAGACAGTGCTTAAAAGGCTTGAAAGGAGTCCTATCTGTTTAATAATTTGTGCGCTCTCCCTTCAGAATGGACGTTCGCTATAAACAGGCTTGCTTACCCTCTATTGCATGCAAAGCAGAGGTTCCTGTGTTTATAATATTGAATGCACACGTTAATGATGGGCGAAGAGAGACACACGCAGACTGACCTTCACACTTGACATCCACTGAGAGGGAAAAACAGGGAAGGCAAATTATGGCAGGGGAGGGTCTGCTGGCCAAAAATACTCAGCTCTGTTTGAGAAATGTTGAGTTTGATTCTTGGAAGTTGTCCATATATCTGGATCTCAGGAAAGAACATAGCTAGAAATATAGATTTTGGTAGTGGTGAGCATACGAAAGATAATTTTAGTCACTGAATTTAACTTTTAGTAAGTGGATTTCCTTGGCTTTTCTTCTTTCTGGCTAAACTGTTTACCATTTGTTACCTGCTTATACCAGAGGAAAAGGGAATTGATTTTTCACTTTTTAATGTCGGTGGTAAAGGTGTAGAGGAATACTTCTGGTTTTCATCTATCTTAATTTTTCCCCTTTGTACTACGACATTTTCCAGGAATTGGAGTGCTTTTCATATTTCTAATGTGAAATTAATAGTTATATATATATATTTACTTTTGTATGAAAAATATATACTTTTCTGAATATTGAAGAAGTAGCACAGTTCTACTCAATGGTTAAATTTATTAAAACTAGAAGTTTTAAAACACAGTATATCTCTAGTCAAAAATGTACTCAGGAGAGTCTTCATGACCAGCTGTGCTGTAAAGATGACTGCAAACGTACATTGATTTATTGCAGTACACATCTGTGCAACATGCTTCGTGGCATAATTTAGTCATCACAGCAGCACTATGAAGTAGGTTTCATCATCAACATCTTAAAGATTAGAGCATTAATACTCAGAGGTGTAAAGTAATTTGCCCAAGGTCTATAGCTGGTAAGCAGTGTGACTGGTTTGTACATGGTTAGGAACATGTCCAGTCCTGCTGCAGACTTAATACAGTAGATGCAATATATATAAATTACAAATTTTCTTTTTTACACCGTAAACATGTTTATGAAAAACACTAGGCTTAAATTATACTTTTAAGTTACATTTTAAAGGTCCGATGAAGTTCTATTTAACAACACCTTTTAGTTAAATGAATACTTATTCCCTTATTTGTATATTTTACAGATCTGTTTGGTCATATTATTAAATATATTTAAAGGGAGGCTGGCCTGCTGGGATTTGTTTTTTAATCATAATCATTTTTTCTGGTTTTGTTTTGAATAATTTACCTCACTAACAGTGAACAGATTTAAAATAAGTAACCTGCTCCTTGTGTCCTAACTTGTACCATGAAGACAACAGTAACCCCATGTATTATGCATTCTCAGTGTCTCTATTTTGTAGATAAGGAAACAGAAGTTTCGAGAATCAGCAACATTGACAATCAGCCTAAAACTTCTGACTCCAAATACTCAGCTTGTTTTCCTGAGTTTCCCACCCTCTCTAAATGGATACATTGTAAAGGTTGTCATTCAACTTATGCTGTATTAGGGTTTTCCACTGATATTAATTGCTGTGGTGATAAAATTCCCACCTCTAAGTAACATTTAATAATCTTAAAAACTAGACATAATTTTTGAACTGTATGGAAAGCTATGGGGCATTGAAACACTTTTAAGTGCAACTTACATCTTAATAGTTACACTTTCTGCTGCCTTGATTTTCCTGGCTGAAGAGTTCAGTTTTAAATCTCAAGGGTAGAAAACACTGGAAAAAAAAAATCAGAGGATCTTGGCATACTTCAACAAAGATAAACAGCTTTTTGTAGTGTTCACATTATGTCAGTAAAATCCAGCCTGCATGTTTGAAATGAAGACAGCCTATTAATTTAAAATGGATTGGAACATCTTCGTACAATGATGAGGGTAAATCAAGAAAATTAAATAAACATTCTAATGGGAAATGTATTATATGTAATGGAATACCAACTGCACAAAATACTCTAGTAGATAAGCCCTTCATTAATAATGGCTTGGTGAATTGCATTCTTATTTCTTCATACTATTCTACTTTCTCAAATAAAGAAAGGTGTACGTTTTTTCACTCTTAAACATTTATCCACCTAAGTGATTTTGGTACTGCTTTTGAAGAGCTAGTTTTTCAAATGAATTTCTTTCTTCTTTCTTGCCTTTTTTTCCCAGAAATTTTTAAAAGAAAAAAGTTTTAAAAAGTATTATTTCCAAAGTTGTCTTTTTGTTTCCTGTTTCTGCCTCCTCAAGACAACCGATTATTATAAGACAAAGACAAATTTGTTTACTCTGTAGGAAGGCTGCATGTTGGAGGAATTGTTCCATCTTAGAGTAATTATAGTTTTTTTACATTCATAAACTTCCAACAGACGTGATTTTTGTATGAATTTATCAGATACCAAAATAACATCCCCAGGAAACTAACCAAAAACCTAATGACTTATAGTTACTTTGCTAATGATCTGTGAGTCACTTATTTATATAGCATAGTCCATCTTGTAGAACAGGCTTTCTTAATAGACTAAGGTTGCTGGTTTAGTGTAGACTAACTACAGAGTCTTGCATCTTATGAATTATCCTTTCCTTGTAGGTTATCTTCTATGATCCCATGCCAATTATCTAGAACAGCTCGTTCACAGTAGAATTTTCTGACGATGAAAATGTTCTCTCTGCTGTCTGATACTAGTAGACTATGGCAATTGACCTCTTAAAATGTAGTTAGTATGACTGAGGAACTAAAGTTTGAATTTTAATTACTTTAAATAGCCGTCTGTGGTTAGTGATTACTCTTTTGGACAGCATAGGCCTAGAATAAGATAAAGTCCTCCCCGCTTCACTGTTGAAGAAGCATGAACATATTTGTATTTCTTGGCTCTCTTATTAAAAATAGCAGCTGTTTTGCATTCATAATAATGCGTGTTCATTAAATAACATTTGCAAAATACAAGAAAGTAAAAATAACAATTATTGTAATGTCGTTGCTCCAATAAAACTACTGTTTGAATTTTTAGTGATACTGAATATTCTCACAGTCATTTTAATTCTATGAATCATTTTTAATATAAGCTGTATACCTTATTTGTATAGTTCTGTATCTGAAAATTTCATTTTGGGATTCTTCTGTTTGCAAATGTACCCTTATTACCTACATAATGGTCTACCAAATTAATAGAATCTACCATATGTTCTTTTTTTTCTTCTTTTTTAATTTTTAAAACTTTTATTTTAGGTTCAAGGTGTACATGTGCCAGTTTGTTACATGGGTAAATTGCATGTTGGTTTGGTGCACTCATGATTGCCTGTTGATCTGATATACAAATAATTTCATGACCCAGGTAGTGGACATAGTACCTGATAAGTAGTTTTTCAGTCCTGACAGTCCTCCCACTCTCCACCCTCAAGTAGGCCCCAGTACCTGTTGTTCCCCTCTTTGTGTCTATGTGTATTCAATGTTTAGCTTCCTCTTATAAGTGAAAACATGTGGTATTTGGTTTTCTGTTTTTGCACTAATTTGCTTAACATAATGGCCTCCAGCTGCATGCATGTTGCTTCAAAGGACATGATTTCATTCTTTTTTATGGCTGCATAATATTCCATAGTATGTGCCACATTTTCTTTATCCAGGCTACCATTGATGGGCATCTAGGTTGATTCCATGTCTTTGCTATTGTGAAGGGTGCTACGATGAACCTATGAGTGCCTGTGTCTTTATGGTAGGACAATTTATATTCCTTTGGGATATATAATAATACCATATCTTCTTAACCAGTTCTCTGTGGTTGCATAGCTGGGATGTTTTCACTGCTGCAATCCAACACAGCACTACTATATGCACTTGTATGGCTGAAATTCTTCCAAATTTAGGATTGTTTTTGAAAATCTCTGGTAGATTCAGATAAATAAAATTTACTGAGTCAAAGGGTATGAACATTTTAAGGCTATGTATATGTATATGAATATGTATAGTCACATTATTTTCTAAAATACTGTCACATATAAAAATATTCATTTTGTTACCAGTGGCGAGTGTCCAGGTTCTTGGCATTTTGAGCAAAGAATTGGACAAAATGCACAAACAAAGAAAGGAAAGAATGAAGCAACAAAAGCAGAGATTTATTGAAAACAAAATTACACTCCACAGGGTGGGAGCGGGTGGGAGTTGGGTCTATTTGGACCCAAATAGAGAATATTCTTGGGTCCAAATACCCCCTAGAGGTTTCCCATTGGCCACTTGGTGTTCACCTTGGAAAACGACCATTCAGAGGCTGAAATGAAGTTACAAAGGTCACACACCTGTGCAAACATCTGATTGATTGCTTTATGCTTTATGCAATCAATCAGAGGCTAAAGTTTCAAAGTTGCACTTCTATGCAAATGAAGGCTTGGCCCACAATCATTTTGATTGGCTGTAGACAGTAATCAGGGGCTGAAGGGAAAAGTTACAAAGGTCACACTCCTATGTAACTTTAAATTTCCCATCTACCATGCAGACAAGGTGGGGGTTTGCAAAGGGAGTAGTCTCTGGTCCTTTTGTTACTTAGGTGTGGAAAGTTAGGGTTTTCCTTTCAATTTAGTTTTAGGAAGTCAGTGTGAAACAGCTTTAGGTTCCCTGCCTCCAGACTCTATTCTCCTGCCTCAATTTCATCACCCAACACCAACTTCAGGCATCCAACACACCTTTAAGTTTTCTTTAATTTCTGTCATATTTGATTTCATGATAAATTTTTCCTGAGTTGTATCTATTTTAATAACTTATAGAGTTAGAAGTCCTACAAAAGAATTTTTCTTTGGTACATTTCTGCATTTTTTGCTAATAAACTATTTTTCTTCCACATTCTTACGATTTTTCATGAAGAAAAGGAAACAGAGTGCATGTGCTGTTCTGTGCTGTTGAGCACAGAGGAGTCTTCCTGGAATCTTTTTCAAAAACACGTGTGAAAGTGAGAGGCCAAACGAGAGATTTTCTATATTTTGCCAACTTTTTGCAATAACTTTGTTTTATTTGTGTCTTATGTTTTAAAATATTATCTACTTGAAAGTGAGGCTTGAATATAATGGTGCCTTTTCCAATATTAATCACATTGTGGCTGCTGTGAAAACAATAATAAGGACAATTCGGAAAACAGTTTATATTAAATATCTCCTTTTGTGCAGTGTTAAAAAATTATTTTGGACACAGTGGTCAGAAAATGATTCACTGAAGATTGCTTTAAAGAAAGCCTACAGATGTAAACCTGAATTTATGAGAAGGAGTGATTATTTACTCTATAAAAGTGTTTTCAATAGAGTTATTACCTAAATAGTGAGCTCCACTAGTGAATTTATGTTTTAGTTTTTAAAAAAAATTGATTTACAAGCCTTTATGATCTTATCTTTTGCATTAAGTGAGTTTATTGAAATAAGCATTCTACTGAAATGCCTTAGGACTAGAAACAGATCTGGTACCTCTAAAAGATAAGCTACTTATTGCTCTCTCATTACTTTATCAAGGCTCATCTGTGGGGTTAAAATTGCAGTGGGAATTAAATTTTGTGTTTTCTAGCTAGATTTGGATTCTATGACAATAATCTTGATCTCATGACCTGTATGTGTGTACATATATATAGTATATATGTTTTTTAATTTGTTTCTCAAATATTAAATATATATATACACACACATACAGTACATATAAATATATCTGTATTTTCTTCCTCAAATATTAAGTATATATGCTTAATTAAGTATATATTAAGTATATATGTATCTGTATATACACACATACATGTACATAGTACATATAAACATATATTTCTTTTCTTCCTCAAATATTATTTAGTATATATATGCTTAATTAAGTATATATTAAGTGTATATGTATCTATACTTAATAATATTTGAGGAAGAAAAGAAAATGTGTTATATGTATTTAATAATTTTGGGAAAACAGAAAATAACATTTTAATGAAAGGAAATAGGATCAGAAACAAAAAGAGAAAAAACAAGATGGCAGTGATATTTTAACATTAACATTGAATAGGAAATATACCCAAACAATGAGCAAGGGAGTTACAGTAGGGGAAAATTTAAAATGAAGATCCTCAGACTGCTGACCCTAAGGCTTTAACCCATGACTCTGACCTCACTGGCCTGTTCTTCCTCATAATCTTCATTTTTAAAGTTTCATGGGTCAGAGGCAAAATAGAGAGGGCACCCAGGGAGCAGAACTCTCACACCACAGTTTTTCCTTCCTTGGTATTGATACTGAAGTAAAGTATTCGCCCTTTTGAGAAGGGGTTATTATCAACATAATATCAGGGAACATTTGGCCTACATTGTCTCCCAGAATAGTTGAGATGCTGATGCTGCAACTTCATTAATAGGTGTGGTTACTTACTTCTGTCAGTAATATGTCAGTTAAGACATATTTAGAAAAAATGTCCTTTTTCAAACAATAGACTTAAATGTTAAAACTATAAGACTTCCAAATGACAATCTTCATGACCTTGAAATAGTCAAAGATTTCTTAGATATAATACCAAGAGCAGGATTCATAAATAAAACAATTTATAAACTGGATTTCATCAACACTAAGAAATTCGGCTCTTCAAAACACCTTGCTGTGTGCATTGGCTCACACCTGTAATTCTAGCATTTTGGGAGGCCGAGGTGGGCGGATCACTTGAGGTCAGGAGTCCAAGACCAGCCTGGCCAATATGGTGAAATCCCATCTCTACTAAAAGTACAGAAAAAAATTATCCAGGCACATTGGAGGGTGCCTGTAATCCCAGCTGCTCGGGAGGCTGAGGCAGGAGAATCACTTGAACCCGGGAGGTGGAGGTTGCAGTGAGGCGAGATTGCACCATTGCACTCCAGCCTGGGCAACAGGGCGAAACTGTCTCATTCATTCATAAATAAATAAATAAATAAATAAATAAATAAATAAAGGCCAGGCACAGTGGCTCACGTCTGTAATCCCGCACTTTGGGAGGCCAAGGCAGGCAGGTCACCTGAGGTCAGGAGTTCAAGACCAGCCTGGCCAACGTGGTGAAACCCTGTCTCTACTAAAAATACAAAAATTTAACTGAGCATGGTGCTGGGCACCTCTAATCCCAGCTACTCAGGAGGCTGAGGCAGGAGAATTGCTTGAATTTAGGAGGCAGAGGTTGCAGTGAGCCAAGATCGCACCACTGCATTCTAGCCTGGGTGACGGAGAGAGACTCCATCTCAAAAAACAAACGAGTAAAAAACCACATTGATAAAAGAATGAAAAGACAAGTCAGGACTTGGAGAAACATATTTGCAAATTACATATCTGATAAAAGGAGTTATATTTAGACTATTTAAAGAACTCTCAAAACTCAATAAATACTAAAACAACCCAATAAAACATAGACAATAGATCTGAACAGTTACTTCCCCAAAGATAGTATACAGATGACAAGTAAACACATGCAAAGATACCCCCAACATTATTAGTCATTGGGGAAATGTAAGTTGAAGCCACAATGAAATGCTATTATACACCTATTAGAATTCTGAAATTTGAAAGATGCCAAGTACGGGTGAGGATACAGAGTAACTGGAAATCTCATACATGACAGATGGGAATGGAAAATGGAGAAACCACTTTGGGAAAAAGTATGGCAGTGTCTTATATAGTGAAATATACAGCTGCCTTATGACATAGCCATTCTACTTTTAGACATTTACCCCAAAGAAATGAAAACATATGTTCATGCAAAGACTCACATACAAGTATCCATAGCAGCTTTATTTGTAATAGACAAAGACTGAAAATAACTCCAATAACCATCAACAGGTGAATGGTTATACAAATTGGTGTATACTATACAATGGAATACTATTTAACAATAAAAGGGAATTATTGATACATGCAACAGCATGAAATGATTTTCAAAATCATTGTGTGGAAGGAAAGAAACCAGACAAAAGAATATAAACTGTGTGATTTGACTTGTATAAATTCCAGAAAATGCAAACTAATCTGTAATTCAAATGGGTGAGTGGAGGGTGGGAGGATGTCAGGGAGAGGCAGAAGGAAGAGATTACAAAGTGGGAGGAAGAATCTACTGGGGGTGATGTACTCATTATCTCGATTGTTGTAATGGTTTTATGGGTATATGTATATGTCCAAATATGTCAAATTGTACACATTAAATATATGTGATTTATTGTGTGTCAGACCTCAATAGAGCTTTCAAAAAATACGTTGTCCTTTGCCTAGGTAAGCGCTTTTTCAAAGAAAATTTGCAAGCTAGCCAACACCTCCTGAGTTGATGCAGGTATTATACAAACGTGGGTCAGCTTGACAATTGCATTACATACTAGCAATCGACAGACTAGCTTTCTAGTGTAAATCAGTCATATGGGTCTGAGTATATTCACCTCTGACAGAGTTCCAGGCCAGTATAATTGAGAACAAAATCTGAAATTCAGAAATAAACAACAGTTGGAAAATATTTTCCATTTTTTTCCCTATTAAATATGATAATTTCAGGTGCAAAGAGTGTTTTTTTTTTTTTTTTTTTTTTCTCCACAGTGCTTTTCACGGTGGGGACTAATGGATATAGAGGGTGGGAGGCCAGAATAACCAAGTACCTGGAAGTGAATCTTTGTGGAGATAATGAAATAATTTTATTCGAAAGGTGCAAAAGGAAGTCTTCCATCACTAGCTCAGCTGTTATGGTCCTTGAACTGCCCTTGCCCGTCTGTCTTTTTATTAATCCTTTTTACCTGTCGTCATTGGCTGAGCCAGGCTTTCTTTTGGTGATGCTGCTTACCTTGATGCCTTCATGTGGCTGCTACTCATTCTGCTTTATCTCCTATGCCCTGTGATCAGAATTTGGGGTTGTCTTTAAGTTCTCCAGTGTTTTTTTTCCAGCATTTCCTACCACATGCATTGATTCTTAGGTCATTTTTTTTTTTTTTTTTTTTGATTGAGATGTTGTCTCCTCTCTTGGCCAGGCTGGAGTGCAGTTGCACCGTCTCTGCCCACTGCTACCTCTGCCTCCCGGGTTCAAGCGATTCTTCTGCCTCAGCCTCCCAAGTAGCTGGGATTACAGGCACCCACCACCATGCCCAGCTAACTTTTGTATTTTTAGTAGAGATGGGGTTTCACCATGTTGGCCAGGCTGCTCACAAACTCCTGGCCTCAATGATCTACCTGCCTTGCCTCCCAAAGTGCTGGGATGACAGGCGTGAGCCACCGCGTCCAGCCATTCTTAGATAATCTTTTACAATATGTGTACTGTGTGTTAGGCACTGTGGAGAGAAAAATAAAAACATATCTCAGCCTCACATTCTGTTGTCAGTAACTTTTTACCTTAGTTGAAGCTCAAAATATTTAGCTAAATCTCTTTCTTTCTTTTCTCTCCCTCTGTTTACCACAGGTCATGCCTCCACAGTAATGGAGGAAGCTATCATTCAATACCCTGTCCCCATCTGCCTTAATTCTTGGGCACTTCTTTTGGCAACTTCAGAAATCTATGTTATTGACCTGCCCAAATCCTGGCCAGACATTTCTGCTGCTGCAGTCTGATTTATTATGCCATTTCTCTGAACTGACAACTCAGAAATCTTAAATTTGGCAAGCCCAATCTCTGACAATAAAGTTTTATTTTTTTCACCTCTGCTATTTTTTTTTTGATATTTCCAATAAATTGGGTATGGAAACTCATCAAAACATCTGTTCTTAAGAGCTGTCTCTAGCATTGTTGTCAAGTCATCCTTCTTGGCGCTTTCCTTTCTGAAGGCATCATTTCATTATGGTTGGTGGTTTCTTCCATGATTCCCTCCAGTAGTAAACATTCACTAGAATCCACAACTTCCTTACTTCTGACTTTGTGATAACTGAACACTTTCTTTTGTATTTCTGTTACTAGTGTCTTCCTCTCTAAGTATGAAAAGCTTAGACGACCTCCATCATCCTTAACACAACTCAGAAGAAAAAGCTTTCTCATCATGTTGCTTCTCTAAAAGATTAAAGTTATCTTTTTTCTTGCTGATTTGAAATTGCAGGTTTTTATGCTTTGAATAATTACACATACTTTTGTCTATTTCTGGACTTTCTAACCTAGTAATCTTTTTGTGTATAAGTCAGTATTCCATTATTGAATTTTTACAATATGTTTTAATATCTGCTAGGTCAGTTTTGCCTTTCATATTACTCTTTTAAAAATAGTTATTCTCAGATGCTCTTTCCAGATGACTTTAGAATAATTTCATTAAGCTTCCCAAAAGTATATTACAGTTTTTTATTAGAATTTTATTAAATCTACAGATTAATTAGAGAATTGATGACTACACAAATTATTCTTCCCATCCAGACACATAGTATCTCTCTACATTTATTAAAGTGTTTCTCTCTATCTTTTAGTGTAGGTTGTAGTTGTTTTAAGTCCTGCATACTGGTTATTTTAGATATCATACTTTTTAGTGATAGAGTAAGTGTCATTACTTTGGTTTCCTTCTGACTTCAAATGCTGTCCCCTTGAAATTTTCCCTGGTGTTGTAAATTTGCCTGTCATCTATTACACAGATGACCTCTCAATCCACGTTCTGAGCTTCTGTGTCTTAGTTCCATCTTTCTGTTGAATATCATCACCTCCTTGTTTTCCAGAGCTACCTCAAATTCAATCTATTTAAAAATGGGCTGGGTGTGGTGGTTTATGCCTGTAATCCCGGCACTTTGGGAGGCCGAGGCGGGGGGGATCATGAGGTCAAGAGATCGAGACCATTCTGGCCAACGTTGTGAAACCCTATCTCTACTAAAAATACAAAAATTAGCCAGGCGTGTGGTGGTGCGTGCCTGTAATCCCAGCTACTCTGGAGGCTGAGGCAGGAGAATTCGCTTGAACCTGGGAGGCAGAGGTTGCAGTGAGCCAAGATCGCGCCACTGCACTCCAGCCGGGCAACAGAGCCAGACTCCGTTTCATAAATAAATAAATAAATAAATAAATAAATAAATAAAATAAAGTCTTCTTTCTCTGCCGCCCCAAAATGTGCTTCCTCTATGTTACCATCCTTAATTAATTTTGTCACTGCCCTAGCCATATAAGGTCAAAACCATGAAATCGTTTTTGACTTTCCTGTGTGCTAATTCTTCTGACTGTCCCTCAGCAATATTGCTGGCATCTGTTTCCTTCTTTCCAACTCGACTGTCTTGTCTTGTTTCCAGTCTGTATTATTTATTACCTAGCATTAGTTGTTGCCTGGAGTATTGATGTTTTAGCCTCTATTCTTTCTTCCCACTCTCTAAATCCAATCTGTCTTCCATGATAATCCTAGTATCTAAAACACTGATGTCATTATCAGCCCAAACTGGCTCTCCTTTGCTTACTTGTTAAAGTCCAAATTGCACAACAGGGCCTTCAAAAATTGACCCCAACAGAATGTTGCCATTTTGTTTTCTGTCACAGTTCCACGAGCATCCTATCACACAGTGTTCAACCACCATCAGCTTCTCGTGTCCTCCCATGCCTCAGTTTCCTTAGTTATGTTGTCCAATCTGCCTGGAATGACTTTCCAATACCATTATTCCCTACTTGGTTGTACTCTGACTCCTCTTTCATGTCCTAGTTCCTACATCACTTTTAATGTGATATTGCCCCACAGCCGTACCCCTCAGTAATCCATCATTTCCTCCTCTTACTTCAGGGAACATTGAGTACATCTCTATTCTATGCATGTCACCTGAGTCACTGTTATATGTTGGTATTTCTGTTCTTCCATTTCCATGTTAGGCTTTTGAAGACATTGGTGGGGCTTCATCCAACCAAGTTTTAAAATAAATATTTAGTCTCAATAAATATTGAATCTATGAAATAAATGCAGCTTGGAAGAACTGAATGGTATCTTTTGCATACAGTCAAAGCTGTAATGATGAATATAACAGATTTGGCATACATTGAGCTCTTAATGTGTTCTGACACCATGCAACTAGCACTGTGCACGGATTGGCTGGTGTCAATCTCAGAACCCTATGGTGATGCTCTCATAAGAGCTCCATTCTGTATGGGAGGAAAAGGAGGCCCAGAAAAAGTCATTGATTTCTCCAGAGTCCTACAGTGCTAACAACTGGTGAAATCAGGCTTTGACTCCTGCTGGCTTGATCTGAAGTTTTACATTTTAAACACTGCCGCCTTCCGCCACACTTGCAGTCCTGCTGTAGCCTTTCTTGACAGAAAGTTTGAACGTATGATTGAGTGTTGGCATGAGCTCAGGTTCCTGATTCTGTTATTTTCCATCTTCCTCTGTATGGTTTGGATGTTTTGGTTTTTTCTCTTACTTTGATTTACATTTAAAAAAAATCTAGGCTGGGCGTGTTGGCTCACGCCTGTAATCCCAGCACTTTAGGAGGCCGAGGTGGGTGGATCGCTTGAACTCAGGAGTTGGAGATCAGCCTGGGCAACATGGTGAAACTCTGTCTCTACAAAAAATACAAAAATTAGCTAGGCATGATGGTGTGCGCCTGTAGTTCCAACTACTTGGGAGGCTGAAGTGGGAGCACGGTGTGAGCCCAGGAAGTGGAGGTTGCAGTGAGCCAAGATCCTGCCATTGCAAGCCAGACCCTGTTTTAAAAAAGAAAACTACATTTTATCATACTTTGTTGTAAACTGCTTCTGTTTTTTTTCAAAGTGAGTGAGTGTAAGTTACAAATCCTTAGTTAACTTTTTATTTTCACTCCGTTAAGTACTTGTTGACCGTGTCCTCTGTGGCAGGTGCTGTTCTGGGCATTGTTCTGGGCACCAGCTACACACCGTTTCTGCCTCGAAGCACCTCATGTGGGCTTCAGGGCAGGCACTATCATTCAGTGTTTACAGATTAATTTGCAAATATTCTGGGAACTCTTTTTCAAAATTAGGAAAATAGGAGAAATAAATGGATGGGCAGTGACTATATTTAATATGTATAAAAATGAAAAAGTATGAATATGTTTATAACTTACATATTGAATGCTTTGCTCTTGGCTATTAAACTTGTTTCCCATTTTCATCTTTCCAGCAATATTTCATTGAACATTCCTGTTGCTAGACCACTGTCCACATCCACAATCTTTTCTGTAAGATATATTCTTATAAGTGTAGTTACTGTGTTACCTTGACATAGTCATTTCAAGACATTTGATATGTATTGACAGTGATAAGTAAAATATTTATATCTCTGCTGTAGATTGTTTTAAAATCAGAAAGAGGCCTGTAACAAATATTAGAGTAGACCTCTGGCAGATAAGTTTTCACATGATTATTCATGTGTGTCTGTATATCTATACACATGCATACACACACACACACACACACACACACACACACACTTTTCCCCCAAAACTTTCTATAATGAATGCATAAAATAAAGAGAAAAGAATTTTGGTTTACTACAGAATTTACAAACTTTCTAAAATTTGAAAAAACATAAATGAGTATTTGTTTTTAAATATAATATTTAATCAGTTTTAATGATTAACCTTAGATGCCTCATAGTTTTATAGAAGATAGAGTATATCAACTTCATTGTATCTTCTTTAAAGTACAAAAGTTAAACATGATTTTTCAAAATTCCCAATCCTAGTGTTCATTTATTTTTTTTGCCAAAGTGGTTAATGTTACCGAATAAAAATGAGGGATTCAGAGATTTGTTTTCTCCCTTAGCTTAATGATATTAATTTTATCAGAAAACTGTAAGTTTTGAGTGAAGTTTTTTCACAATGGTATGTTTTTTGTTATTTAAATGAAATTTCCAGGAAGCACCTTTTTGGTTCAAAAAATTGTTATATTTTTAAGTCATATTTTTCTGACCAATAAGACAACATCTTTAGTGTATTTTTTGTTTTTTTGAGCTAGGAGTGAGCCAAAAAACAATAGGAGTGATGTTGCCAAGTTAAAATGGTTAATTCTATATTATCTGGAGTCTCTACCACATTAAGTTCAAGTCCTTCTGCCTGATTTCTGGAGCTTCCAGTGTCTGGCCCCACTCTCTGTCTTCACTTTACTTCATGGGCACCACTGCTCTGCCAGGCCCATCCTCCCCGCAGCACCTCCCAGCACTCACAGTCTGCAGCCCTGGTGTCTGCCTCCGTCACCTGTCTTCCTCCCTGTCCCTCATCCAACCTACCTCCCCTCTCTCCTCCTCTCAGCACCTGCCTGATTTCCATTTATTCTTTGACTGTACAATTTGACATCTGATTATTTTTAATATTTTAATATTTTTGTTTTTATATTTAATATTTTATTTTATTTAATAGTTTTATATTCAATATTTTAATATTTCCTAAACATGTATGTATATTTTTCGTATTTCCTACTAGTGAGAAGTACACAGCAGATATTCAGTAAATACTTCTGGTATGATTGACTGGTAAATTCTTCTATGATTTCGGAATTTTTGATTACTGCACAAATGTTTCAAAGTACTTGCTTTTTCTCTTAAGGAGTAATTTGTAGCCCTGAGGGATGATGGCTTATTGTCATCAAAATGACTTTGACTCTTTTTTTTTTTTTTTTTTGAGACAGAGTCTCGCTCTATTGCCAGCCTGGAGTGCAGTGGCGCAATCTCGGCTCACTGCATCCTCCGCCTTCCGGGTTCAAGCCATTCTTCTGCCTCAGCCTCGTGAGTAGCTGGGACTACAGGCGCGCGCCACCACACCCAGCTAATTTTTGTATTTTCAGTAGAGACGAGGTTTCACCATGTTGGCCAGGATGGTCTCGATCTCCTGACCTTGTGATCCACCCGCCTCGGCCTCCCAAAGTGCTGGGATTACAGGCATGAGCCACCACGCCTGGCCTGACTCTTCTTTAGTATGCCTATAAGTAATTTTTCATCAATAAGCAGTATAGTGAAAAGAATGTTAGACGGGATTGTAGTCCTGCTTCTTCCATTAACTGGTTTTCTGGTGTTACATATAGAGCTTGATTTCCTTTTTTCTCTAAATAGATAAGATTATACTTGGTTATTCCTAGTATTCCTTCTGTTGCTTCAAAATGCCATTTTATATATTCCAGAGTGTATATAATGTCTTCAACAATCGAATGGTATTGATATCACCTACTTGGTTAAACATTATCAAAGTAGAACTTTAATTCTTAAGTCGTAGTTTGCTTATGGATTAATACTTTTATCAGACAGTATAAAAATTGCCTACCTATAGATTTTAGCTGCAAAATATTATGGTTCAACCAATTGCTTCAGTGATCTGATGATTTTCTTAAATTCTATAGGAAAAAATTGTAAATATGGTATATTTAATCTTACATTTTTCCCCTTAGTTTTAATAATCTTGGAAAATAAATATTCTTGTTTTTCTTCCATAAAACCCACATTGTTGAAGCAGGAAGCTTAGGTGGTGGCAAGTCTTCTTTTTAATTCAGGTCCCAGCATTCTTTCTGGCTGAGGTACAAGAGCTTGACCTCTTTGTGTGGCTTTGCTGAAGTATTTGTCCCCTACGAAAGCCAATACAATCAGTAGCGCCAGCATAGATAAAGAGCTGCGTAAGGTTGTATTTTAGTGGCAAGGCTGTTTTGTGACCATGTTCTGCAGGCAGACTGGAGGTGACAGTATTATTTACTTTTGTTGCTTGGGGTCCAAAGAGAGAATAAATTGCTATTGATTTTTGAGACATTCCAGTGAAGGGTCTGAATGCCTTCAGAGGAGCTGGGTGGCAGGACAGCCAGTGATGGCACAGGGACTGCCTTTTAAAATGAAAATTCATTTTCTTGTTATTGTCATAAAGATTTTTTTCGTTCTTAGAGCTAGTTACAAAAAGATGTGACTGCAGGGCTGTTGCTGTTATAAATGTTTTCTATCTCCCTGAAAGAATGGAATTCAGCACTTTTCACAGCAGTTTGAAATTGATAGAGTTCTGAGTGTGTACTTGCATACATGTAATCAGTTGTACTCAAAAGGGATATTTAATTCTGTTAGTTTATTAGCCACTTTACCAAGGATACTTTTAGGTTTGTCAAATGTTTAGCAGCACAAAGGAAGGAAATTTGGTTTCTGTTAGTTTAACTTAAAAATTGCAAATGTGCTTCTAAAGTGATATATTTGCTTTCCTTGGTGATTTATTAATTTCTTGTCCAGGTGTAGTATTTAAGTGGACACTTTTTCAATTTGGAAAATATTTGAGACGTTTGAATTCTATTGATGCCAAATATGCCATCCCTCAATCCTATAATCTCTTACAAGATTGGAAATTTGTAAGAGATTATGGAATTCCAGTCCTTGGAATATTTAGGATTCTAACTTTGTAGTGCCAACTGAGGGCCAAATACCAGAGGAATAGCTGCAAATTAGCTCATGTCAGTTATTCTTAAATCGATAGTGCACTCCTAATTTAATAGTCTAGGATGATTCATGTTCTCAAGTATCTGTTTTGGGGAAGTATGAATTATTGGCATCCAGAAAGTCACTGGTATACATAAAAGTGGAAACTGTGTATGAGGCTTGTCATGGCATAGACTGGCAAAGAGATTGCAAATGGGGTAACGTTCTTGAATTAGGAAGGGCTTTTAAAAATATATATGTAAACGTATTCAAGTAACAAAGGGTTAAATCTGAATTCCTTAATTCTAAAGTTTAGCTTACCATCCAGATCTCTAAATAAACAGTCCTCTTTAAAACATAGTGGTTTTTAATGGGGGCAATCGTGACTCAAGAAGATACAACACTTAATGTCTTCAACTATGTTGTGTCTGTATAATCATTTTACTTCTAATTTGTTGCTATTAATCTATTCAGATGTGAAGAGCATAAGAACATGTTTCCTTTAAAAAAAAAAGATGTCCTCATGCTTTTTAAGTTTCACAAGTAGAAGTTTCAGGCTTTTAGGTCAATGATATGGTGGCTTTTCTGTGGTGAGGTATACTGGGAAATAGTAGATGGTATAATAAAAAAAACTGTGGATTTTAGAGGTTTAGAGACTGATTTCAAAACTCAATCTTTCCTGTTACTTATTGTGCCATTTAGGCAAATTGTTTAACCTCTCTAGGTCTTGGTACTTCAGATTCTCAAACGGGAATCATTGTGTCTATCTCAAAATGGGAAGGAAACCATGATTGTAAGTCAAGATACATCGTTACCACCACCACCAGGGCCACCACCATCATCATTATCATCCACTCTCAGAATGAAGTAAATGCCTAGAAAGCAGGTGCCATTAAATATAGGAAAGAAGTACAGCTGAAAGGTCTGTCCTTCCTGTTCCTACTTTATGTCCCTGGGCCTACCTATTAGATACTTCTCATGACCAGGTGCCACACCCACTCATCGAGGCCACAGGATGCTACAGTGGGAGCCTGAATGAGTGCTGTTCATCACATCCTTTTGTGTCAACGCTTGAGTTCTTTAGGAACTTCTTGAGTGGCTGTTTGTCACTGTGTTGGTCTGACCGTGGATGGTTCTGCTGCGCCCCCATACACAGCCACTTATGGTGCTCCCTCCCCTCTCCTTCAACTGCTGGCCCAGCACCTCTGTCCTCATCGTCTCATCTCTTACCCTGTCAGTTTTTCCCCGTCTCTGGCATTCTCTTCTAGCCATAGCCCAGGTCCTCTGTCCACAGCCTTTCTTGCCATTGCTGGCCTTTGGCACTTGGCCAGCATTAACTCCTGAGGTGACATGGTTCTGTTTATTCCACCGGGAGAGTAACAATGACAAGGTAAAGTAGATGTTGGACTATTACTAGATGTGATACTGCACTTTTCTCATGTAAATCTCTCTGCTTATCTTTTAAAATCTGTGCCCTTTTTATAATAAAGTTTCATATTTTAATCTTACAATTATGAGCTTTTCATTTTCTAAATATAACTGTGAAAATCTTGATGAAATACTCTGATGAGTTTACTGAGGATATATCTGCTTCCTTACTTTAACCTTGACACCAGGGGAAAATTATTACTCTAATGGTTCAAAGAATATTTTTGTTATTGTTTTAATCAACATAATTATAAGCTAAATTGAGAAATGTATATGACACTTCTCTTAAAGAAAAATAGATTTTTTTCCTCTCTTGTCTATGAGTTATCTATTTGAAAATAAGTAATTGTGCTTATTAATGCTATGTAAATCCTAACATTCATTGAGTATTTACTATGTGCCAGGTTCTGTTCCAACTGCTTTGCATGTATCATTTAATTTAGTCTTCATAACAACCCTAAGAGATAAGTACTAATATTAACCCCATCTTATAGATGAAGAAACTGAGGCTCTAAGAAGTTAAATAATTTGCCTATTTTTACTCAGCTCTAAGTGGTGAATCGAGATTCCAATCCAGATATTCAAGCTCCAGTATCCATGTTCTTTACTATGCCCTGTGTATGCTATATTTTTCTGTTAGAAAAGTGAGAAAGAGGGAACTCAAAAGATCTATGTTTGCGATAGATATTTTAAATATATATATAGGACACCAATATACTTACCATAATGGAGTCACTCCACATGAAACTTCTTGAAGGTTCTATAGTTTTATCTGTAAAATGAAATAATAACTCACAAGGTACTTTATATGACTTAAATTTTGACAGACTTTCAAAGTGATAGAAAAAAATTTGCATCCTTTTTATCATTTTTGTCATAATCTACATACCTTAACATGCATTTATTAAATGTGGTTGAAAGCTTAACTAAAATATTTTAAACAGCATTTAGATTTTATATACTGTATATGTGGATTATATACTTGGTAATTAACCCGTTTAAAATTGTAAAAAATCTTCTGGCTGGCTTTGCATTCTGATCTAGCAAGGAAGCAAGACTTGTTTTTAATATTAAACTAAGAAAAACAAATTGCTAAGGTAAATTTGTCACGCACAGAAATATAATCTGTGCCAATAGAAAGAATTGTTAAATTATCCACTGTTTAGGATTAGCCAGCTTTCTGAATTAGCATGGATAATTGAAGCTTGACAGTTCTTAGTAGTATTATCAAGAATGTCTTTCAAATGATAATTTTCTTTATTGTACTTGATTAATTTGTAAGTAATTAGAGTTTAGCAGTAACCTGATGTGTTCAGTCTTCTTATTAATGTAGGTTTATATTCATAATCCTAAGTACTTTGTAAACTCATTTGAATACGTCATCTGTATTCCACCTTGTAAATTCAATGTTTGTTTATAATGGAAACAAGAATTAGTCAATTTGCTTGTCCTGAAACTCTGATTGTTATAAGCTCTTACTTGTTAAATTTTAATATGCAGGTTATAGATACCAAGGTAGCTCATAGTACCAAGAAACCTCATTGTATTAATTATTTTCCTGAAGTACTGTAGTGCTTTAACATAATTACCAACATAGCCTAAAAATGAGTGTTCTATTTTTAAACCTTGACATAATTTAAAAATGGGAGTTTGTACAACATTTTTTGTGGGAAAATGATTAATCTCAAATTTATTTTTGACATAAAAGCATTATAAAATGTTACTCCATGTGAACAACCTTAATTCACCTCCTGAATTTATGTTCTTATTTTCTCTGCTTTTCTTGGCTTCCAGGACATTTCGCTCTCCTAGGACTAATATCTTAGCGCTCTGTGGAGATAGGAAATTTGAGTCCTGTAACTTGTTTCTTAAAAGTAATTGCAGAGCATTTGTATATACAATGCCATTTTTAAAAAATGATATTTTAGTTCACATCTGTTTTCCAAGGAATTATAGCTTCTTTGCAGATTTACTTATTTTCCCCAGATCAGTGGAAAATCCAGGATATTTATTCACTAGTCTCATTGTTATTTATATACCATTATAATGATCCTCAGACTTATAAAGCATGCCGCATTCTAACCACAGTGTATCTCACATGATAGAAACAAAAACTACTCCCTCCTCTTTTCTTATAGACATCTTAAAACTGGATTGAGAATAAACTGAGAATAATTAAAAGTCTTTGCCCATGCCTATGTCCTGAATGGTATTGCCTAGATTTTCTTCTAGGGTTTTTATGGTTTGAGGTTTTAAATTTAAGTAAGTCTTTAATCAATCGAATTAATTTTTGTATAAGATGTGTAAGGAAGGGATCCAGTTTCAGTTTTCCGCATATGTCGAGCCAGTTTTCCAGCACCATTTACTGAATAGGAGATCCTTTTCCCATTGCTTGTTTTTGTCAGGTTTGTTGAAGATCAGATGGTTATAGATGTGTGGTGTTATTTCTGAGGTCTCTGTTCTGCTCCATTAGTCTGTATGTCTATTTTGGTACCAGTACCGTGCTGTTTTGGTTACTGTACCCTTGTAGTATAGTTTGAAGTCAGGTAGCATGATGTCTCCAACTTTGTTCCTTTTGCTTAGGATTGTCTAGGCTATACAGGGTCTTCTTTGATTCCATAATTTAAAATAGTTTTTTTCTAATTCTGTGAAGAATGTCAATGGCAGTTTTATGGGAATAGCATTGAATCTATAAATTACTTTGGGAAGTATGGCCATTTTCACAATATTGATTGTTCCTATCCATGAGGGTAGAATATTTTTCCATTTGTTTGTGTCCTATCTTATTTCTCTGAGCAGTGATTTGTAGTTCCCCTTGAAGAGGTCCTTCACATCCCTTGTTGGCTGTGTTCCTAGGTATTTTATTCTCTTTGTAGCCATTGTGAATGGGAGTTCATTCATGATTTGTCTCTCTGCTTGCCTGTTGTCAGTATAAAGGAATTCTTGTGATTTTTGCACATTGATTTTGTATCCTGAGACTTTGCTGAAGTTACTTATCAGTTCAAGAAGTTTTTGGGCTGAGATAATGGGGTTTTCTAAATATAAAATCATGTCATCTGCAAACAGAGACAACTTGACTTCCTGTCTTCCCATTTGAATACCCTTTATTTCTTTCTCTTGCCTGATTGCCCTGGCCAGAACTTCCAATACTATGTTGAATAGGAGTGGTGAGAGGGGGCGTCCTTGTCTTGTACTGGTTGTCAAAGGGAATGCTTCCAGCTTTTGCCTATTCAATATGATGCTGGCTGTGGGTTTGTCATAAATAGCTCTTATTATTTTAAGATATGTTCCATCGATATCTAGTTTATTGAGAGTTTTTAACATGAGGGGATGTTGAATTTTATCAAAGGCCTTTTCTGCATCTGTTGAGATAATCATGTGGTTTTAGCAATTGCAACAAAAGCCAGATTGACAAATGGGATCTAATTAAACTAAAGAGCTTCTGCACAGCAAAAGAAACTATCATCAGAGTGCACAGGCAACCTAGAGAATGGGAGAAAATTTTTGCAGTATACCCATCTGACAAAGTCTAATATACAGAATTTACAAGGAACTTAAACATATTTACAAGAAAAAAAAACAGCATCAAAAAGTGGGCAAAGGATATGAACAGACACTTCTCAAAAGTTTTCACAGCCAACAAACATATGAAAAAAATCTCAACATCACTGATCACCAGAGAAATGCAAATCAAAACCACAATGAGATACCATGCCACGCCAGTCAGAATGGCAATTATTAAAAAGTCAGGAAACAATAGATGCTGGCCAGGCCATGGAGAAATAGGAACACTTTTACACTGGTGGTAGGAATGTAAATTAGTTCGACCGTTGTGGAAGACAGTATGGTGATTCCTCAAGGACCTAGAACCATAAATACTATTTAACCCAGCAATCCCATTACTGGGTATATACCCAAAGGAATATAAATCATTCTGCTATAAAGACATATGTACACGTATGTTTATTGCGGCACTGTTCACAATAGCAAAGACATGGAACCAACCCAAATACCTATCAGTGATAGACTGGATAAAGAAAATGCGGTACGTATACACCATGGAATACTATGCAGCCATAAAAAAGAATGAAATCGTGTCCTTTGCAGGGACATGGATGAAGCTGGAAGCCATCATCCTCAGCAAACTAACACAGGAAGAGAAAACCAAACACTGCATGTTCCCACTCATAGGTGGGAGTTGAACATTGAGAACACCTGGACACAGGGTAACAACACACACCAGGGCCTGTTGCAGGGTGGAGGGTGAGGGGAAGGAACTTCGAGGACAGGTCAATAGGTGCAGCAAACCACCATGGCACACATATACCTATGTACCAGAACGTGTATACCTGCATGTTCTGCACACATATCCCCCCACCTTTTTTTTTTAGAGGAAATAAAATATTCAAAAATTCAAAAAATAAAATGAAAAAAAAAGTATTGTGGGGCTTCACCAGTATAGCAAATAACTGAATTCAGCTACATTCTCCCCATCCAAAGTCTGGGCTTTTCTTTTTAGTTTCATGTAACTTGGGAGTTGGGGGTAGGTTTCAGATAGAAGTTGTTTTTGGTTTTGTTTCAATTCTATCTTCTCTTTTTTATAAGTGAGGAAACTGAAGCCCACTTAATCCCCAATCTAACTTGTTGCTTTACTCCTCTTGTCGTCTCTTTTCCTGGAAGTACACACTTATTTTCTGTCTACAAGGAACCAGTGCAAGTTCTAATCTAATCATAGTAATTTTTAACACCTGTCTTAAAAAACATTTTAAAACAATATTTAAAATGCTCTTCGTTTTGTGATTGTTTCCTCTGGACATGCAGCAGTTTCAAGATGGCTTTTACTAAACTTTACAGTGATGTCTGCAACTAACCCAACTCATAGGGAAATTTCCTTTTTTTTTTTTTCCTGTTCAGTTTCTTCCTGGGTAGCACAAAATCTCCCCTTACGTGCTCATCCCCACATACAGTGGTCAGGTTATCACCTCCTTGCTTAGAAGAGTGTCAGTCTCTGTGGCCTTGATATTAACTCTTCCCTGCCACACTTTTCTGTGAAATGAGATAGTAATGGTGCCTGCCTCACAGGGTTATTGTGAGCATTGGAAGAATTAATCCATGTGAACTATTTTTGAGCAATCCCTGATATATAAAAGGCTTTCTGCTAAGAATTAGCTGATAAGGAATGTAGGACCATCGGCTGGTGGGTTGTGCACAGGCAATGGGTTGATGTTTTGTAGGGTGGAGGCATATTTGGGAGCAGCTGGGTGTCGGGTTCTACTCTGCTCCCTTGTTCTCCCAGTGCAAGATGCTTCCCCCTGCCTTCATCTTGTCAAGGCTCTTGGTTCCTTCACACCTTTCCCTTCAGCTTCAATCGCTCTTCTGCCTCCCTTTCCCCCAACCCAAGCCTTTGGAACAGAAAATCTCTACAGTGTGCAACAGAATCATTCCTACCTCATATCACATTACCTGACTTTCAATTATACCACAAAGCTATAGTAACCAAAACAGCATCATACTGGTATAAAAATACACACATAGATTAATGGAACAGGATAGAGAAACCAGAAATAAAGCCACATACCTATAAGCAATGGATCTTTGACCTAGTTGACAAAGATATACATTGGAGAAAGGACACCCTATTCAATAAATGGTGCTGGGAAAATTGGGTAGCTATATGCAGAAGGATGAAAACTGGACTCACACCTTTCACCATATGCAAAAATTAACTCAAGGTTGATTGAAGATTTAAATGTAAGACCTGAAACTATTAAAATCCTATAAGAAAAACTGGGAAAAACTCTTCTGGACATGGGTTTAGGCAAATAATTTATGACCATGTCTTCAAAATGAAATGCAACATAAACAAAAATAGATAAATGGAACTTAATTAAACTAAAAAGCTTCTTCTCAGCAAAAGAAACAATCAACAGTGTAAACAGACAACTTACAGAATGGAAAAAAAATTTGCAAGCTATGCATCCAACAAAGGGCTAATATCCAGAATCTACAAGGAACTCAAACAACTCAACAAGAAAAAAAAAAAAAAGTAACCTCATTAAAAAAATCTCCATGCTGTTTTCCAAACAGGTTGCCCCGTTTCAGGTTTCAGATTGTCCTTTTTGGAGATTTCTGTAAGAACTAAAAATAGAACTATCATTCGATCCAGCAATCCCATTACTGGATATGTACCCAAAGGGAAAGAAATTATTAAAAAAAAAAAGATACCTTCATTCATATGTTTATTGCAGATATATATAAGCTTGCATGTTCTCACAGATGGGGGCTAAACATGTACACATGGACATAGTGGAATAATAGATATTAGGGAATACAAAAGGTGGGAGGGGATGAGGGTTGAAAAACCTACTGGGTACAGTGGTCACTGTTCAAGTGATGAATACATCAAAAGCCCAGACTTCAGCGCCACACAGTATACGCATGTAAGAAACCTGCACTTGTATCCCCTCGATATATTTTAATAAACAATTTAATTTTAAAAGAAAAAATTATTTCTGCCTCACATTTAACTGTTTCTCTGTGCCTTTTTTTCTGCTTCAAGAAAAGTGTGAGGGACTAAAGAATATGTTAAATACATAGATACGCGTAGATTATTACTTCAGCCATAACCCTGTCATATTTAACAAAGCAACAAACTGCGTTTGGTGAATAAAGATTTCCAGGACACAGGAACCTTCAAGTGTTAGAGAGCAGAGTTTAGAATCTGTTTGGTTACTTCTAGTAAAGAAACCTCTGTGCTCAGGGTTCCCCACCCTGCCTAATAAGGCCACCGCCAGGTCTCCCAAACCAACCCCTACTAACCTCATTGTCCGTGGGAACTGTATGTCTTTGCACCTTGTATATCCTCATTACTACTTGTCTTTATAGTTTTGCTTTAACCTGATTTTAATCTCTGTATCTTCCTGCTGCATTTTAGGCATTAGAATTTTTACAGAAATTACATTAGAAACTTGTTCTTTAAGTTCCTAACTCAACTTGAGATACTGAAGTCAGTGGTGGCCAATTGCTCCCTGACCCCTTGTTCTTTTTTTTTTAGACAGAGTTTCATTCTTGTTGCCCAGGCTGGAGTGCAATGGCGTGATCTCAGCTCACTGCAACCTTTGCCTCCTGAGTTCAAGCCATTCTCCTGCCTCAGCCTCCTGAGTAGCTGGGACTACAGGCATGCGCCACCACTCCTGGCTAATTTTGTATTTTTAGTAGAGACGGGGTTTCTCCATGTTGGTCAGGCTTATCTTGAACTCCTGACCTCAGGTGATCCGCCCACCTCAGCCTCCCAAAGTGCTAGGATTACAGATGTGAGGCACCGTACCCGGCCCTCCCTTGTTCTTTCTTAGTTGAATGTTGTTGCTCAGCACCCAGAATTCTTAGTGTCATAAATTTCATCTCTTTAATTTGAAAATCAAACATCTTGAGTACCCAGCCCAGGAACTTGAACTCTCCTACACAAGTTGAATACAGTAGAAAGATTAGATAGGCATTTCTAAATAATTGGCAAGTCCCTACTTTGGGGCTGACGGTTTTAAGATCAATGAACAGACCATGTGGACAGCAATCACTCATCCCATCTCTTTACTTTGTTGAATGTCTTAGGTACCGAATCTTGAGGGTTACTAGTGATAGAAGGACCAATGAGTTCTACCTCCAGGAGCCTCCTACTCTTGTAGGAAGGACAAACAAGTAGATAAATAATTAGAATGCAAATTGAACACTGTCTCAGAGGTCTGCATAAATAGCTATGGAATCATAGGGAAGGAAGCAGTTATCCAAGGGGGTCATAGAAGACTCTACGAGAAAATAGTGTGTGTTTTTTATTTTGAAGGATCAGTTCACATTTTCTACATGGGAAGGGGAGAAGATGCAGAGGAAATTGCATACAAAGACACAGTGTGATGGTGAAACAGATTTAGTGGGCAGAACTAGAGAACACTGCATAAGGAAAGGTGAGAAGTGAGCCTCTTGCATGCTTTCATAAGGAGCTGGACTGAATCATTTAGCAAGAACCAGCTAATTGTGATTGAAACAAGGGGTAAAATACTTAGGCTTATTTCTGAGAAAGTAGTAAAGTAGAGGACATGCTTTGAAGCTTAAAAAAATGAGGGTGACTTCTTTATAATAAAATGATTATACTATACATTTAAAATAATTTTTGAATTTTGAGTTATTTTTGTTGAAGGAAGCTATTTTGTATTGTGTGTGAGAGAAATCTGTGTTCTTTCAACATTCTAGTAGTGAGAACAGGAAAATAATGGATGAAATGGCTAGGATAGGAGGATTATCATAAAATAGAGTGTATTTTGTATGCCTGGCATAAGTTTCACAGGGTTTTTAATATTGTTCTTGATGTTTCATAATGATATGACAAATAAATTTTGTTTAGATGAAAATGTTTTCTTTGCTGATAAATATACTCTGTCCAAGCAGTAGCAATGCATTTGGGTGTCCTCACTTTTATCTAATAAAACTTTCATGGTTCTATCATTTTACGAAAGTATATTACTTTTCATTTTCCATGATGAAAATATAATAATGTAATTTTTTATGAAATGTACCTGTGGGAAATGTATAATAGAACAGAGTTTGGTTTCATTTCTTTTTTTTCTGATGTAGAACTTCAGAGACAGAATAATTTTCTTTTTGGCACCTAATGGGTTAATAACTCATGGTACAAAAACCCATTTTATTTTAAAGGAAAATTGCTTTGAAAAATATGCATTAATTGAAATCCTATTTAAGGGTAAAATTATGTTATTGATTATGATCAAAATGTCCCAGACAGTGATGAATTCATCAATTCTTGTTTCAGTGGCATTATAAATCTCTTAGTAAGAGCTAGAGAACGTGAACAAGATGAATATTTTCAAATTATAGTGGTACATTACTTATGTTAACTTTCTTAATCTGTATACTGTGTAGGAATGGAAATAGCTCTTTTTCAGAGGCAATATAGAAAAGTAGCTTACAATGTTATCTGTCACAAATCAAATTGGAATGAAACTTGTTCCAATATAAACCTTAAAAATCCAAAGCTGGAAGTTGGCCAAACAACATATTTAAGTTAAAGGAAAAAAGGCATAAAGTGTAAAATTAGGCATAGCCAGAAATGAATTGTATTTAGAATTATAGAATAACAGCCGCTTGAATTCATGTAACTAAGAAAGGTATTATAACATTTAACATTCATAATATATGATCAAAGTCTGAAAGATTGCAAATGATTAATCCATAAAAAGTTATACTTTGAAAGCCCTAAAGCCACTATTACCTA
Source organism: Homo sapiens (assembly GCF_000001405.40). NCBI lineage: Eukaryota > Metazoa > Chordata > Mammalia > Primates > Hominidae > Homo > Homo sapiens. The sequence goes on along the minus strand of NC_000006.12, from coordinate 162,659,029 downwards.
TGAAAATTGAAGAGTTTTCAGTGTTTTACAGCTTGATTCTTTCCAAAGGTATATATTGATAGAATGTATTATTTCTTCTTTTTACTACTAAAAAATCGGTAAGACGTGGACTTGTTTTAAATGTCATAACATTTTAAAATACATGCACCCATTTAAAAATCCTTCTTAAATATCTTTAAAATATAGTTTGTCTTGAGTTGTACTTGCAATTCACATGACTTATATGATATTGGCATTGTAAGTACCTAGTTAGTGCTTAGAATGGGATGTGTAGATGATTTAAGTTCAGATCTTCAGGCTATTTCTTTTTTTTTTCTTTTGTTTTCTTTTTCTTTTTCTTTTTTCTTTTTTTTTTCTTTTTTTTTTTTTTTGACAGAGTCTCACTCTGTCGCCCAGGCTGTAGTGCAATGGCACTGTCTCGGCTCACTGCAACCTCCGCCTCCCGGGTTCAAGCGATTCTTCTGCCTCAGCCTCCCTAGTAGCTGGGATTACAGTCACCCGCCATCATGCCCAGCTAATTTTTTTATATTTGTAGAGACGGGGTTTCACCATGTTGGCTAGGCTGATCTTGAACTCCTTACCTCAGGTGATCTGCCCGCGTCGGTCTCCCAAAGTGCTGGCGTGAGCCGCCATGCCCGGCTAACACACTTTCTTATATCATAGGTTACTATGGCTATGAGTGCAGAATATTATTTGTCTTATTTTGAGTAAATATTATCTCGTTGTATGACTCTTCACAAGCATTTTATTAAGTATGTCTTTGCATAAAGAGCTAGACTCTACAGAAAGAAAGTTGAATAGATATGATGCTTGCTCAGTACAAACTTCTTTAAGACCAGTAGAATATATTGTAAGAAATGTATAGGAACAAAAAACTGTGGCACCAATGCAATGCAGTGATTTTTAAGTGCATCTGGTTAAATTATGTGGAATTTGGGGATGTTGTACCATGCAGAGGTTTGATTTTGCCACAAGAGTTGGCAATCTGGTTGCATGCCTTGTCATAAATGACTCTAAAATCTCAGAATTGTTCTGGTGACATTTTATAGTATTATATTTTTTAAGAATTCTAAAATACCTATGTCATCTTCTTCCTATAATCCTCTGAGGCAGAGATGTCATTTTAGGTTTTGAGTTGCAGAAACAAGCCTCCAACAAGCCTCCAGTGACAGTGTTTGCCAGTAATTTGGTGCTTGTGCTAGGCCTGGAACCCTCATGTCCCTACTATATTCTGACACCAGACCATACTGAAATGGCAGCAGTCATGAGTCATGACAGGGGTGTTCACATCTGACTACAATATGGAGGGTCTTCCACTAATTTTCAGTGTGGATTTCCATGAGAAAGATTTATTACAGGTGTTTTCTTTCAGCCATTTGAATTTACCAAGTGTAATTTTTAAAAATTATCATTGAAAATATGGCAAAAACAACTTTTGGATGCCAGGGTGCTACTTTAGCAGATGAAACATTATGTATTCTTTGTCCTGAAAACTCTTAAGAGAACTTTTTGTTGCTTAGTTTCCTGTATTTTTTTAAATTTAGTAATTGTTGGAATTATTAAATGAATGTAATAAAACACATATTGATGGAAAGTTGATATAAATTTACTCAACTTTGATTTTAAGGAAGTTTGTTAATATAGATTTGGGGATTTTGATCATACCCACATGTAATTATTACTGCAGTTAATTTGTAATTTATCTGCAATACTGAACAAATGCAATAGTATCAAATGAATAGAATACTATATATAATATACAAAATATGTCTGTTTAATTAGGAGCCAACTCTTCTGTAACACTGGCTCTGTCAAGGATATAATAATCTACTATGGATAATTGCATCAATGTATTCATTTTTTCATTCATTCATTCTAGCTTTTAAGCAGGATTTGTTTAGCATCTACCATTGCTAGGCCATGTACTAGGTGGTGTTCATATAATATGAACAAGCCCACCACATATTTAGCCCCTGTCCTCAAGGGTCAGTAAAATTAAACTTATGGCAAGTTGGCAGGATACGACAGGCATCTGTAAAGTAGAAGTCCTGGGACAGCGTAGCTGAGTTCTGAAAGTAGATGTTTAACAAAGCAGAGAGAAGAGGAAAGCTCCTAACTAAGGCTTTGTGCTAGGAGAGTACCTGGAGGGTGGGTGCCTGGGATTGAGAGGAGTATGGCTGGAGTGTCAAGGGGGAGAGGGAAGGAGTATGTCTTATGCTGGAATACATCTGGAAGGCCAGCTGTTGGAAGGTCTTGTTAAGGATAAAGGTCTGTGTTCAAGATCAAGAGGAATGTAAAGCTGTTTCAGGATTGTGTTGGGATGGTGGTGGTCATAAGATTATATGTGCTCTTCAAAACTAATACTCTCATTGCAGTGAGGAGCAAGGGTTAGAGGGGACAGGAAAGAATGGTAGGAGGTAATTACAGACTTGCATTCATGTGCTATGGCAGAGACAGTGCTAATGGGATAGATTCAATGCCTAGAAAGGCAATTCAATTGTCGGATTGAATGTGGACTACATGTGAAAGAGAGGTTCAAGTATGACATACACCTTTTAGCTTAAATAATGGGATGGAGGGTGAGGCCATTCACTAGCATCCTGATTTCTGGGAGAAGATGAGATCACAGATCATAAAATGTCAGATAACTTCCATCTTGCCTGCCAGCTCCATTCAGTTGGTAGTGGCTGCGTAGGGCCACAGATTGAGAAGGATCTTAAAGCTCATTGTAGAATCTTTGATGATCAACAATTTGACTTAAAAGTACTGAGAGTGGGTTGTGTTTCTCTATATCCCGAATTAGTTCTTGCTCTTAAATTAATACATATGTAGCTGAAAAGTTGCCAGTAGAGAGAATGTTTCTGTAACTGCTCTTGTTAGCGAATGCCACCTATGTGCTTGGTACTGTTGTAAATGTACGCTCTACTTTGTGCCATTTAGTCCTTGAATGTAGATTAGCATTTAGAATCATATAGATTGATATTGGACCTATTCTGTTCAAGAATAATTTATATAATTTGGGCCTAATAGGCCTTTTTATACTGGGTTGTTAATCTGAAATGAGGTGAATTCCTGGTGTATAGGGACCCTGAGGATAACATTGTGTCATGCCCCTTAATATTCTAAATTACTATTAATGAATAATTAAAAGTCAGTTTACATTTCACTCAGCATAGTTATCTCTCATTTATGTGTGTATGTGTGTTTGTAATTATTGGTTTGCAGCTCATATTTTATGTAAATAGATGGTAGCAGAAGCTCAGAGGAGGAAATGCCATATGGTATTACAGTTAATGATGACCCAAGTGTGGCTCTCATTTTCTGTATATCTATCTCACAGTGCCAAAGACCTTCCAAGTAATTGAATCTTTCCTTTCTGTGATTGAATTCCAAAGGGGATTTCCATAATTCCTTTTTTTCCCTGTTAAAACCATCAAATTAAAGTAATTCTGGCAGTACTGTAACTTACTAAAATTTCTTTTGGAGCAAATTATATATGAACACTCATAAGAGCTAGGGAGAAAAACATGCTTTTCTGACTTGCTAATTAGTGTTAATTTGTATATACTCTCTCTTTGTATATACGCTTAAAAAAATAAAGGAGACACGATTGTTTCTGGAAGACCACACAGTTATACTAGGCTGCCAGATAAAGTTTCTGGAGGCAAAAATCCCTACGGTTTACTTGTGAAAGTGTTGGAATACAATTACGAATCAAAAAACTACCAAGGAAATTCTTAAATACTCATGGGTTAATCCAATTGTGATTTTCCTTTTTTATAGACTTCATGGCGGATAAAGCTCAGGGTTTTATTCAATACAAATGTGATAATATATTTAAAGCATAACAACTATATTGTAGATCAGAATGCCAAAATCATTAATATATTGTAATAATAAATTATGTATATTTTTATTTTTTGTGGAATTAAAGTATGAAATTTATGAAAAAGATGAATAGCATTTTCTAATTATTAAAATTGACATTGGTATAACTATGCATACAGAATTGTTAGAAAATCATATTGGGGTTTAATTAAAAAGACTAGAGCATTATTTTTGTTTGAAAGATTATGATTTTTTTTTTAAGTAAATGATATGGTTTGGCTGTGTCCCGAACCAAATCTCATCTTGAATTGTAGTTCCCATAATCCTTATGGTTTTATAGGGGGATTTCCCCCCCCACTTCACTCTGCACTTCTCCTTGCTGTGCCGCCTTGTTTAGAAAGAAGTGTTTGCTTCCCCTTCCGCCATGATTGTAAGTTTCCTGAGGCCTCCCCAGCCATGTGGAACTGTGAGTCAATCAAACATCTTTCATTAATAAATTACCCAGTCTCAGGTATGTCTCCACTGGCAGCATGAGAATGGACTAATACAGTAAACATTAAAAAATTGTTTTCTCTTGAATGAATCAGAAGATTTGAAAATAAATTTTGAAGGATAAATGTCAATTTAGAAGATGCTATTGGATAATCTTTTATCATTATGAAGAAAGATAAATTAATCATATTCTGATACAGTAAAATAGATTGTTGTTATCTAATGCCAGTTGAATGTGTGTGGCACAAATCGTGGTTGGGAACTCGGGCTCCTCAGGCAGGTAACATGGGTTCAAAACCTGCCACTGTTACTTAACAGCTGTGTGATTTTATGCAAATAACTTAATCTCTATCCCTCAGTTTTCCTTTGTATGAAATGGGGATACTGGTAATATGCATCTCATAGGATGATATTTCTTAATCCATAACTTGATAACTGTTAAAAACATGTGTATGAACATGGCTTTTCACAGTGGGCCAGAAGGAGAGCTACAATAATAGCAAAGTAGTTTGTCACAAATGTGGAAGCTCGACTGTTAGACTTGATCCTATCACTACTTTAAACAAGTCTCTTAACTTTCGACACTTCTGTTTTCCTATATCTGAAATAGATTTAGTAAGATCATTCTTTCCTATAGCATGTGGTTTTTGATAGGCTCAAATAATGTGAAATACAAAACCACTTACTTTATGTGAAGTACCTAAAGTCCTCTCTGCCTTCAAAAAGAGTGCCAGTGAGTAGGTACTTGTTGAACAAAGAAAGCAGTTTTTGTTTCTGCCTGTATGTGTATAAATGGTTATTCATTGAAATTGTTTTATAAATACTAAGATAAAAAAGGGGCCATGCTCAACACTGAGGAATAATACACTGTAATTCTTAATCTGTTTTAACTACTATGAAGAATATTTAGATACTGTTGGCAACCAGTTAGAATACTGTGGCTTTATATTTTAGAAGGTAATTTTTATAAACATTTCCTCTGCTATTCTCACAGTAGCACTGTGAAGTAGATATTATAACGATTTGTCTTTTATGCAAGGGAAAACTTAGGCAGAAAAAAATTAAATAACCATATAAATAATTCAATGTGAATGTAAGGAATTGAGGATCAGACCCAGGTTGTCTGGAAACAAATTCTATCACCTAAGATTCCAAATACACAAAATTTACCAAAATAATGTTTATTTACCCATTTTGTCTATTGAAAAGGTAACGCTAATTCCAGAGAAATTTTCTAAGATTTTCTATGAGAAGATTATTTGCAACATCCTATTAAATTATGAGTTGATTTTTAAAAAATTATTATGAAAAATCCTTAAAATATTTCAAAGAACGTGCTTATACACACAGAGACACACACACAGACACGCACACAAACACACACACACACAAACACAAACTCCCATTCTGAATTAATCAGTCTTCATGTCTTGACATATTTGCTTTAGCAAATGCTTTCAAGAAGTTCTATAGGTACAGTTGAAACTGCTTTGGACCTCTTTCCAGTCTCATTAAACTGTTTGTATATCCTTCCTGAATCCAAAAACAATGCAATCATCGATTTTTAAATCTTTTAAACTCAGTTAGAATTCTCTAGAGCAAGAAACCCAAAGACTTCACTTAAAATTGTTTATGACAGCTAGTAATAAAATATCTTCAAATCATTGATTGACTAGATTTTTGGTTTTGGTTTTGAATTATCACATAGAGTTTCTAAAGGAAAAGATGCTAGAAGCTATACAGTTTTGGTACATATGGATCTCTGAAAGGCCTGTTTTATATCTTTTGTATTTGAAAAAGATGCTCAGAATACTGATGAAAAAGCAAAGCTTTTAGTCATTTAGAAGGAATTTTTAATAAATCTTATCGGGGGGTTAGTTCTCAATTCTTTGTATTTATTTTTTCTTCTTCTTCTTCTTATTTTTTTTTAATAAAGAGGAAGTGTCAGTCAGCTGTTGCCCAGGCTGGTTTTGAACTCCTGAGCTCAAGCAGTCTTTCCACCTCAGCCTCCCAAAGTGCTGGGATTATAGGCATGAGCCACCACACCTGGCTGGTCTCAATTCTAATAGAAGAGTGGCATGGGTAGAAACCATAAATAATAAGCAATCTAAAATATATTTGTTTTGACCTTATATTGTGTTGTATTGCTTTTTTTAATCCTTTGACTTCAGGTATATTTAAACTAAATTTAAAATGAATTCTAAGGATACTATTGGTCTTAAAATATAAGGAACTAATTGAACATATTTAAAGGAATTTATATATGAAATGATAGAGACTATGGTACTGAGAAATTGGAAACAATTGTTAACTGATACAACACTTGTGACACAACCTGTTAATGAGGCACAGTGCAGCAGTTAAGAACACACTGAAAGTATGTACATAATGAGCTGAGAAGATCGCTATGACATATCAGTCAGCTGGAAGAGCAGGTTATAAAATTGTGTCCTTAGGATCCAGCTTTGTAAAGGCAAGCTAGACACCACGTATGCCCAAATATGAGGTGACCCTAAATATAAAGATCAACTGGGGCGGTTTTGCCACCAGTGGACATTGATGATATCTGAAGAAATTTGGGGCTGTTACATTGAGGGGTGCTACTGGCATCCAGTGGGCAGAAGTCTGGTAAGCTGCTGAGCATTCTACAAGTCATAGGACTACCTCAATGACAAAGAACTGTCTGACCCAAAATGTCAGTAGTACTGAGGGTGAGAAATCTCGACATAAGGTAATGCTAAATATCTGAGTATTATTTTTAAAAGTATGTGGCCCACATTATGCATATGAAATTTTAGGGATAAAGATGCAAAAGTCAACTATCTACTTATAACAATTAATTTATTAGTGAATGAAAATCAACTATACAAAAAAGATAGCAATTTAGAAATATTATTTTTATCATTATCATGAAATAATTTTATTCACACTTTTCACATATGTCAGCACCAGCACTGCCTAAAGTTGCTTGAGTTAGAGCACTCTCTAAATCCACTTACGTAACCTGAGAAGCCTGCTTTTTTCCTTCTTCCCATGGGCATATATTGAGGATCTTGTCAGTGTGAGCACAGTATAACTTTCTAAAAGTGATCCTTAAAAAGCTTATTTACAGGAGTTAATATTTGTGGTTATGAGGTGTAACTAGTATGAAATAATTACCAATTCGGTACGGAGGAGGTTGTTTCAGGTTAATGTGTCTCCTCAAACTACTTTCTCCTTCAAAATGCAATAATTGAGAGAGCATTTGGTAATCTGGTGAAGTGAAGACAGGAATAGATGGAGTCTCCTTTTCAGAAGGATAGATTAGTTATAGTGATGGAGGGAACTTGTCTTATTTTCAGACTTACAGAGTTCCACGTAAGTGTGTTACGGTGTGCACGTGTGTATGTGTGATCATGCAAAGGGAACATCGATGAAGATGTACATCAAAATGTAGTCAGTGGCAGTGTCATTTGAGAGATTTTCACTTTCTCTGTTTTCTGAAAAATGTACCAGGAGAATGGAGGTTTGTAATGAGCCTTACATTTATAATCAGAAGGAAACACAGTGTTTCTTTCCAGTTTAAACAAACAAACAAACAAACAAACAAAGCCATATTGTGGTTGCTCTCAGTTGACTAACCCTCACAGGATAATAAAGTATTTCAGTATGAACTCCTGCTCTGGCCTATCCTATCTAGAAAAGGCAATGTGTTTCTTATCTTTCCTCTCCTTAGATCTTCTCGACCTCTCATTCCCTCACATTCTCTCCACCAGCAAACAAAAGAACATAAATACAATTTTGGGGCATTTGGGACTTTGCTTTCTGAAACAGTTGTCACACCCATGCTGTCCTTACATGTGAGTAACCTCATCCTTCCTCCCACAGAATTAATAGATCATCTTCACTGTGAGTTCCCTTAATTTTATATCTTTGTTAGGAAGACTCCAAGAGAATGGACAAAGATTATTGGACTCTAGGATAAGCCAATGGAGAAAAACATTAGGAGACAAAGGGAAGCTTTTCTCACTCTTGAGATCATACCTAGGGATATCTGTATACTTTGTAGACTGTTAAAATCTCTCTGAGGTTTCAGCCATAGGCAGAGAGTTTTCTTTTTTTTTTTTTTTTTTGAGACGGAGTCTCGCTCTGTCGCCCAGGCTGGAGTGCAGTGGCGGGATCTCGGCTCACTGCAAGCTCCGCCTCCCGGGGTCACGCCATTCTCCTGCCTCAGCCTCCCAAGTAGCTGGGACTACAGGCGCCCGCCACTACGCCCGGCTAATTTTTTGTATTTTTAGTAGAGACGGGGTTTCACCGTTTTTAGCCGGGATGGTCTCGATCTCCTGACCTCGTGATCCGCCCGCCTCGGCCTCCCAAAGTGCTGGGATTACAGGCGTGAGCCACCGCGCCCGGCCGGCAGAGAGTTTTCAAACCTGCTTCAAAAGCATTGTGGAGGGTGTGCAGCAGTTGCAGCTCCTGTGGTCACACTGGAGAGGAAGTGTTCTCTTCACTCTCGTCTCCTAGCAACAGTTTCCAGCAGGGCAGAAGGATTGTTGGACCTGCTTTTAAGGCAGCTTCTACTTCGGTATATATTGGTGTAGAATTCAGTTTAATGAATATGAAACTTTTTAAAGGTAAACCTAAAGTCACTTTTAGCAATCTTAACAGTGATAAATGGCCGCTTGAGAGTCACGTATGTCCGTGCTCTAAATTATAGCCTTGCCATCATTTCATCATTTCTGGTGCACTTTGCTGTCTAATTCCCAGGCAGAATGTTCAGATTTCTGTCTTTTCTTCAAAAATGTTAAAACCAATGACATACATTCACATATGTTAAAAAAATAAAGTAGTAGAGAAAGACTTATATTCATGTACCAAAGTTTTCAGTGCACCACTTAATCCCCAGCCCTGCTCGGCTTAATCACTTACTTTACATGCACTTTACTGAAGGGCTGGCAGGTTCCAGTTCTTTCTGTATATGCTGTACATATGTGTATCATTAGTTCTCACATTAGATGGATTTCTAAATGGCATGATTGAGACTCATAAAAGTTTAATACTTTTTTTTTTTTGAGACAGAGTATTGCACTGTTGCCCAGGCTGGAGTAAAAGTTTAATACTTTTTATAATGTGTAACCGAGAATTGGAACCCAAATCTCTCTGAATCTACAAGTCTGTTCCTCAACTTTGATTAATGACATACACCTTTGACTTTCTACAGTTAGCCAGATGCATGGTCGTGTGGGGGAGATGGGCTTCAGTTTCACTAGAGACTTAGATGATGTGTACCATCCTGGTTTGTCGAGATGGCTCTGGGTTAGACATGCTGCCCTGGCAAAATCATTACCAGTATCCTATTTCACCCTTATCTTAAAAGTGCTCTGGATTGTATGATGAATTATATGGTTACCTTAACTAACAATTTGCTAGTCATCTTAGTACCACTAAACTATAAGCCCCATGAAAATAGAGATTTTTGTCTGTTTCATTGATGGTTATATTACCTGCATCTAGAACAGTGTTTGGCATGTAAATGCACTCAATAAATACTTGTTGATTATTATATTGACGGAGATTTAGTATGTGTATCCGTCAAGGTTCTCCAGAGAAAGAAATGTTTATATACATATATGTTAAGGAATTGGCTCATGGTTGTGGCGGCTGGCAAGGCTGAAATTTGTGCGGCAGGCTGGCAGACTGGAAGCTCAGACAGGGTTCCTGTGTTGCAGTCTTGAGGCACAATTCCTTCTCTTCAAGAAACGTGGTTTTTGCTCATATGACCTTCAACTGATTAGATGAGGACCCCCAAGTTTTTTAGGGTAAACTTATTTACTTAAAGTCAACTGATTGCAGATGGTAATTATGTCTACAAAATACCTCCACAGCCATATCTAGGTGAGTGTTTGACCTAACTGAGCACCAGAGCCCAGCTAAGTTAACACATAACATATAAGGCTGTATGTTTGTGCACACTCTATGAGATCAGTGCCTGTTGGTAAAAGGAGCTTACTCACAAACTGTCAAGATGACATTTAAAAGAGAGAACACTGGCCGGCTGTCGTGGCTCACGCCTGTAATCCCAGCACTTTGGGAGGCTGAGGCGGGTGGATCACTTGAGGTCAGGAGTTTGAGACCAACCTGGCCAACATGGTGAAACCCCGTCTCTACTAAAAATACAAACATTAGCCAGGTGTGGTGGCACATGCTTGTAATCCCAGCTACTCGGGAGGCTGAGGCAGGAGAATCACTTGAACCCGGCGGGCGGAGGTTGCAGTGAGTCAAGATGGCACCACTGCACTCCAGCTTGGGAAACAGAGCAAGACTCCATCTTAAAAAAATAAAAAAAGAAAGAACACCAAGGATTTAATTACCTCAGAGGAGTTGCATATAGAAAGAATGCTGCCATGCTTTAAACACATAGTGACCATTGGAATCCCATTTAGTATAATGTAAAATCACAGTACAGAGAGATATTACAAAAACGTGATTATAAAATCTATTTTTTAGGCAGAGCATTTTGAAGCTTGCTGGAGAAGGCTGTCTGTCTTTCCTTTGTCAAGTAGTTACATGTGATATTTAATACAGTAGAGTTATATAATACTGCCATTTTACATCGCTCGTCTTTTTACACCTTTCCTCAGATATTTGTTGATTTATAATAAATTGTGACCTTTCTGTAATTAGTTGGGAATGGGTGATGTGGGGGAATATTTAGGAACTTTTCTAGTACTCAACAAATTTTGCCCCGTAGACTTTTTTTTTTTTTTTTTTTTTTTTTTTTGCACTGTGGACATATAGAGATGGTTCTAGGACCTAGCACTGGGAGCTCTAACATGATCTTATATAGCTAGAAAGAAAGTACTTCTTCATTGTTTGCAATAGAGGAGTGATAGATAAAGTGGTGACAGAGGAAAGAGACAAGAAAAGGAATATAAAGTAGGGAAAATTGTGAGGTTGTGATCAGACTGAGCTCAGAAACAAACTTTCTGCTTCCTTGGTGAGTGGCAGGAATTACTACAAACTCTGGCATGCTTTCTTAATTGTACCACAAAAAGTGAAGGTGAAACATGACCTTAATACTTCCAGAAAGCCCTGAATAGTTCTTGTTTGACATATAAGTATGAGTAAAGGATTCAGGTAGCTTCTATATATTATTAATAATTCAGCTTTAAAGCCAAACTTTCTTAACTACCTCTCACTTAGATTCCTGGATTTTAGATTTTTAAGGCTGTTAAGACCTTTCCATAGTGCATCTGCTCATGCGTTTGAATCACAATTTTGTAATATTAAGTAACCAAATTAAAATACCCAAATAAAATGAGTGTTAAGATTTGTTAAGTCTAAAATAGCCCTCCATGACATCTGACCTAATATGTTTTTTCTCCAAAAACAGATTGTTTGTTCTCATTGATTTACTTATTGCACATAAATATTTTGAAATTTAATTTATAAATTTATTTAGCAAAATACTACCTTTAAGATGCATGTATTTGGATTAATATATCAACATTATTCTAGAAAGAGAACTCTCTTTATATTATATTACATTATTATTTATATTATTATTCTTTCTCTCTAGAAGAGAGAGAATGATGAGAAATTGCTCAGTGTTTACCTTTGTGGAGAGGGCTCAGAGGGAAGGGGAAGAAGCTTTTACTCTTTATTTTGTATCTTTATGTATGGTTTCAGCTTCCTAGTTAAATTTGTTTTACTTCTGTATTTTTTGTCCTTGGCTGTGGACTTATGAGCCATTTTTGTTTTCTTTCTTATAATACAATCATGTGCCACATAATAATGTTTTGGTCAATGACAGACTGCATATGTGACAGTGGTCCTGTGAGATTATAAGACTGTGTTTTTAATGTACCTTCTCCATGTCTAGATATGTTTAGGTACACAAATACTTACCGTGTGTTACAGTTGCCTACAGTATGCAGTAGAGTAACATGCTGTTCAGCTTGTAGCCCAGGAGCAGGAGGCTCTACCATACAGCCTAGGTGTGTAGTAGGCTATACCAGCTGGGTCTGTGCAAGTGCACTCTATAACGTACTCACAATGATGAAATCACCTAATGACACATTTCTCAGAATGTATCTGCAATGTTAAGTGCTACACAAGTGTACTTTCTATTTAAAAACAATAAATTCAGCTGGGCATGGTGGCTCATGCCTGTAATCCAAGCA